>NT_187560.1:0-209988 GCF_000001405.40 Homo sapiens | reverse complement strand
GAATTCAGGGAGATGATGGACGTGGGCTCCACACCCCACCTTCCACCTCAAGGAGGTGGCAGTGGGAACCCTTACACGGGGGTGACTGAGCATCTGAGCGGGATCACCGTGGCCTGGGGGCCTGCCCCTCGCCCCTGAGAGCTCCTGGTTAGAGCCGTTGTGGGCACAGCCTAAGCTTCTGCAGGCCTTCTCTCTCACCTCTCTCATATCCTTCCATCATTTAAGTAGATTAAACTCAGAAACATTTTTAGTGCTGTGTACAAACCAAGGGCAGCAAAAAACCCAACCTCTATGCCAGGCTGAGCTTCTGTTCTTCCTGACTCTACAGCAAGAGCTCTGGGCATCTCTCCACGTGACCAGCTGTGACCACGGACTTAGGAACACTGTTTCCTACCTCCTTCACCTCACCTCCCTGCCACCTCCAGCCCGTAATTTAGAGAGAAGCTGATGCAGTTGACTCTTCCCAGCTTGCCATTTAAACGCACACTGGGTTATGTGCACAGAGATGCTGCCCCAGTGACTGTATTTGGGTAACTGTTTCACCCTCGTGGTGTGACAGCCCATTTGAGCGCTCTTCAAGGCACGAGATCCTCAGCACCGTCAACAAGTCTGTGTCTCACCTGCAATCACAGCTCATTGAGCCGCCAGCTAATTAGAGAGCCCCTAAGTGAATCAGTGACACAATGCCGCCTGCAAAAGCATCAGAGCCGCGGCCGCACGCACACAGAGCGGGGTGTGAGATATCCCAGCCGCACACACACAGAGCGGGGTGTGAAATATCCCAGCCCAGACGCGTGCACACGGGGCGGGTGTGAAATATCCCAGCCGCACGCACACAGGGCGGGTGTGAAATATCCCAGCTGCACGCACACAGAGTGGGGTGTGAAATATCCCAGCCGCACGCACACAGGGCGAGTGTGTAATATCCCAGCCGCATGCACACAGGGCAGGTGTGAAATATCCCAGCTGCACACACACAGGGTGGGTGTGAAATATCCCAGCCCAGCCACAAACAGGGCGGGTGTGAAATATCCCAGCCACACGCACACAGGGCGGGTGTGTAATATCCCAGCCGCACGCACACAGGGCGGGTGTGAAATATCCCAGCCGCAGGCACACAGGGCGGGTGTGAAATATCCCAGCCGCACACACACAGGGCGGGTGTGAAATATCCCAGCCGTGTGCACACAGAGAGGGTGTGAAATATCCCAGCCCAGCCGCACACAGAGAGGGTGTGAAATATCCCAGCCCAGCCGCACACAGGGCGGGTGTGAAATATCCCAGCCGCACACACACAGGGCGGGTGTGAAATATCCCAGCCGCACGCACACAGGGTGGGTGTGAAATATCCCAGCCGCACACACACAGGGCGGGTGTGAAATATCCCAGCCGCACGCACACAGAGTGGGGTGTGAAATATCCCAGCCGCGTGCACACAGGGCGGGTGTGAAATATCGCAGCCACATTGTTGTTGAAAGCCGTTGCCGGGCCTGAAAATCGCAGCTTTTTGAACGCACACACTGAACCTCCCCGGCTTTGTTTTCTAGGAAGGACGTGGCGGCTGCTGCCCAACTTTGAACGGAGGAGCACAGGAGGAGCTCCAAGGCCCCTCAGGAGTCGCCACTGTTGCCTCCGGTCACCCCCACCTTCTGTTGGAGTGGCCTTCAGGGAAAATGCCCCAAAGGGGCCTCCTAGGAGCCCCTGCCCGACCCCGCCCCAGATGCTCCCTCCCATCGCCAAACCTCGTCTCCTCATCTATGGAAGGAGAACAAGGAGACGGCCCTCACCTAGCAGTGTAACCCTGAATGCCAAGGCCATGCCTGGTGCAGAAAGGCCCAAACACCAGCCTCAGGAGGCGCGGCCATCCCCGTCATCACACCTGGTTTCTGCTTTGACCTTTGCTGCCAATAAATGTGAGCAGCTGCCATCCTGTGCCCAGTCCCCGGGGCATACCTGCAGCCCAGGCTGGCTGTCTTTGCTTCCCAGACACCTGGGAAGTCTGGGCTCTGGGGAAGACATTCTGCAGCTCTAATTTTAAAACTATTTGGCATTTTCAAATCCAGTTTTCAAGTCCCTGGGGTGGGTAAAGGATGCTTCAAGAAGAAAGTGCTCTGAGCCAGAGTAGGAACAATGGTGAAGGGTCCAGGATGGCACAGGACGGGAGCCTGCCAGGTGGTTCTGCCAGGGCCCAGGAGGACAGCAAAGTCAGCTGACGGCTGGGACCAAGAGACAGAAACAGAGAGACAGAGACAGAGAGAGACAGAGACAGAGGAACAGAGACAGAGAGAGAGACAAAGGGAGCAGGAGAGGGACAGAGACAGAGATAGAAAGAGACAGAGGGATAGGGAGTCGGAGACACAGAGACAGAGAGAGACAGAAAGAGACAGAGAGAGACAGAGAGACAGAGACATAGAGACAGAGAAACAGAGAGACAGAGATAGAGAGACACAGGGAGACAGAGAGAAAGAATCAGAGACAGAGATAGCCAGAGAACAGCAGAGACAGAGTCCCAGCAGTTGCCCGTCCACTCTCTGCCTGACCTGCAATCTGCCTCTTCTGACCTTGGATGTGCCCCAACCAGAGCTTTTGCAGGAGGGGCTGCTCACTGTGGAGGGGAGCCCAGAGCTGGACCATCAGGAGACCCAGGACAGACGCCCCACAGCAAAAGCCAGGACACCTGAACTGGTCAGGCCAGCAGTGACTCAGGGCCTGGAGAGCCCCGTGGGCAGAGGCTGCCTGGAAGGCTCCACCGGCCAAGGGCAGGTCAGCAAGGCAAGTCATGGCCAGAAGGCAGAAGGGCCAGCACAAAGGCCAGCTTTATAGGTGCAGAGCGGGAGCCAGGCGGGGGCACTGGGAGCACAGGCATGGTTCTCGGGGTGAGGACGCCTCCTTGGCCCCACTCCATGTCACTGGTGACTGGTCAACAAGGTGCAAGCTGCTACCTTCACAGAGGGTGATCCTACCGGAGACAGATGAGCCTCACTCACTGGCCATAACGTGCCCCCGACCCCCTGGCTCCCTCTGCCTATGACCAGGCCAGGCCCCCTGCAGTGGGTGCTGCTATCACAATTGAGGGCTGAACACCCCAGGGGAAACTGAGTCCTTTCAGGGCAGTAATAAGGGAAGGTTTCGACCACTGTTAGCTGCAGAAGGGCCAACCCCTTTACCTGGCTGTCCCTCTCCCTGGGAGCTTGCTGGGCCACCCCTCTACTGGGCTGCCCCTCTCCCTGGGGTGCCTTCTCTACCTGAGCCGTCTTCTCCACCTGGACCACCCCGTCCACCTGGACCACCCCTCCACCTGGACCACCCCCTCACCTGGACCGCCCCCTCCACCTGGATGACCCCCTCACCTGGACCGCCCCCCCACCTGGACCGCCCCCTCCACCTGGATGACCCCCTCCACCTGGACCACCCCCCCCACCTGGACCACCCCCCCCACCTGGACCACCCCCCCACCTGGACCACCCCTCCACCTGGACCACCCCCTCCACCTGGGCCTCCCCATCCACCTGGACCACCCCTCCACCTGGACGGCCCCCTCCACCTGGGCCTCCCCCCAACCTGGGCCACCCCCTCCACCTGGACGACCCCCTCCACCTGGGCTGCCCCCTCCACCTGGACCACCCCCTCCACCTGGGGTGTGCCAGAGGGAGTAACTGTGGGATGGAAACAAAATTCGACTCTAGTGGGTGGCCAGGAGAGGTCACGTGCTGCTTCTCTTGTGTTGTGAATGCAGCGGTCAGCCGCAAAACACCAAATGACACCCAGTCACTGGAATTCTTGGATTAAATGCTTTTGATGCACATATATCCTCTCCACACACTGCATAATTAACTGAATATCCGACAATCGGCAGATCCATACTGTTGAAGCTGGACTAGCCACAACTTATCATTAAAGTATTCAATTACATAATTTATAATGAAAAGCCACAATCAACGCTAAGCAATACCAATGGTCACAATTCATCAGGGTCCTTCCCAAAACTGTGGGACTCTCAGCAGAGTCCACATGCACGGGACGGGGGCAACACAGCCAAGCCCCATGGGGCAATCCAGCTTCTCTGCAGACACTGCTGGCTTTTAGTTTGTGCCAAATTTTAATAAACGTTAATAACTCACTTGATAGGTGTCTCAGCCCATGCAGGCTGCTATAAGAAAATACCATAGCTTGGGTAATTGATAAACAACAGAGGTTTCTTTCTCACAGTTCTGGAGATACCCACAGATTCGGTGTCGGTGAGCGCCCACTTTTTGGTTGGGCCTTCCCCTGTCATCTCACAGCAGAAGGGGTGAAGAAGCGTCCTGAGGCCTCTTTCAGAAGCGCATTAGCCCATCCGTGAGGCTCTTCCTCAGGGCCTCAGCGCCTTGCAAAGGCCCCTAACACCATGGCCTTGGGTGAGGATTTCCATGTAGGAACTGGAGGCGTGGGGTAGGCGGACACAAACCTTCAGTCGCTATGGCAATTGTGACTAATAAGTAATTTGTACTTATATACAAAAATGAATTCGTTTGACATTCTTTTAGGGTTAAAAGCTGCACCATCAAAAGACGGTCAGGTTGTTCCCTCCTCATTTAAGCCAATTTTAAAACGATTTTTCCTCCTACAACGTGAAAATGATCACAGGGTGCCATCAGGTGACTATGCACACTTCGTGCTGAGCTGGCAGAGGAGGGTCTAGAGTGAAGCCCATCTCAAGCCAAGTGGAACTGGTCCAAATGGAAAAACAGCCCCCCGGGACGTCTTGTCTTCGGAGAGCCGCGTCTCCGGGGCCCGGGCAGGCCCTGTGGTCTCCCTGCCTGGGCTGTACTTGCTCAGCCTTTTGCAACTGCCCGGTACCAACGGTCAAGGATGAGAATTGCAGCAGAGCTTTAAAGACTTGGGTCCCAACGTCACTGTCTATTGACTGAGTTTTTCAAGTGGTTTGAGTCAGAAGTAGGGATATACCTTCAATTAGAGTCCTGAATTTTAGGCATTACTTACCAAAAACACTGAGCAGGTTTGCCCAGAAAATACAGTCTGCATGGAACTTCCACATCCCCTCACTCTCTACCAGAACGGCAGCCCACCTCAAAGACACCGCACGCGGCCCACCTGCCTTGCACCCCAGACACCAGGGTTGAAAGCCTGAGTCCAGGCAGGAGCCAACCTCACAGAGTCAAATCTCGGAGCACCAGGTGAGGGGAGGTCTCAGCGCCACTGCCGGGATAAGCCCTCAGGATGGAGACAGTCGCATCTGCCAGATCCCTTTCACCAGACTGCAGAGTGAGGTGAAACCAGGGCCTCATAGGTGTGAGGGCCATCGGGGAGGTGCCGCCGGCAGAAGGAGAGGTGGGAAGGCTGAGTGGATGGAAGGATCAGGAATGACCAGGAGGAAGCTACAGTCAATAGCTGATGGGGCTTGGCTGTGTTGCCCCCCAGCCCGGTGCATGCAGACTCTGCTGACAGTCCCACGGTTTGGGACTCTCGTTTCACTCATTCATCATTTATTGAGCATCAGGGAATATGAAAGTGGCCATGGGCCTCCAAACAGCTCAGAATGTAAAGGGGAAGAGCTCTGTGCTGTAGCTGCAACTCCAGCCACAAGGAAGACAAGACCCAGGGCTGTGGGACGAAGGGGAGAGAGGACTCAGGCCCCAGCTGCAGGATTCGAGTGCCCTTCGGGAGTGAGCTCGCAGGGGAGGAACCCTCCTAGGACAGGGCACGTGGAGCTCCAGGCAGCCTCTCCAGGGCCCTGCGTGTGCTGTTTCTCTGTCTTGAAAATGACACCGAACGTTTATGGCCAGTGAGCACCCACCGCAAGCCCACACTGTGAGCTCCTTGCCTGCTGGGGAGGCCAGGAGATGCAGAACCAAGGGCAGAAGCACTGCCTGCAGCCCTGTCCCAGCGTCGTGGATGCAGACACGGGAGGAGCCGCAGACAGACGCGGGAGGAGCCGCAGACAGACGCGGGAGGAGCCGCAGACGCAGGGGGAGCCGCAGGCACAGGGGGAGCCGCAGGCACAGGGGGAGCCGCAGACAGACATGGGAGGAGCCGCAGACACGGGGAGCCGCAGACACAGGGGGAGCCGCAGGCACAGGGGGAGCCGCAGACAGACATGGGAGGAGCCGCAGACACGGGGAGCCGCAGGCATGGGGGAGCCGCAGACAGACATGGGAGGAGCCGCAGACACGGGAGGAGCCGCAGACACAGGGAGCCGCAGACACAGGGGGAGCTGCAGACACAGGAGGAGACACACAAGGAGCCGCAGACACAGGGGGAGCCACAGACAGACATGGGAGGAGCCGCAGACACGGGGAGCCGCAGACACAGGGGGAGCCGCAGGCATGGGGGAGCCGCAGACACAGGGGGAGCCGCAGACACAGGAGGAGACACACGAGGAGCCGCAGACGCAGGAGGAGCCGCAGACAGACGCGGGAGGAGCCGCAGACACAGGGGGAGCCGCAGACACAGGGGGAGCTGCAGACAGACATGGGAGGAGCCGCAGACACAGGGAGCCGCAGACACAGGGAGCCGCAGACACAGGGGGAGCCGCAGACACAGGAGGAGACACACGAGGAGCCGCAGGCACAGGGGGAGCCGCAGACACAGGGGGAGCTGCAGACAGACATGGGAGGAGCCGCAGACACGGGGAGCCGCAGACACAGGGAGCCGCAGACACAGGGGGAGCCGCAGACACAGGAGGAGACACACGAGGAGCCGCAGACACAGGGGGAGCCGCAGACAGACATGGGAGGAGCCACAGACACGGGAGCCGCAGACACGGGGAGCCGCAGACACAGGGGGAGACGCAGACACAGGAGGAGACACACAAGGAGCCGCAGCCACAGGGGGAGCCGCAGACGCGGGAGAGCCACAGACACAGGGGGAGCCGCAGACACAGGGGGAGCCGCAGGCACAGGGGGAGCCACAGGCACAGGGGGAGCCGCAGACAGACATGGGAGGAGCCGCAGACACGGGGAGCCGCAGACACAGGAGGAGACACACGAGGAGCCGCAGGCACAGGGGGAGCCACAGGCACGGGGGAGCCGCAGGCACAGGGGGAGCCACAGACACCCTCACACTCCGGGATCTAGCGTGTGTGGACGAGCCCGAGGCGCTCGGCCCAGCTTGTCAGCAGCCTTCCTGGGAACGCTGTGGAAATGTGTGGAGGGGCCGCGTGGCTTCCTGCTGCCTGGGACGACATTACTGCATCTGCATTTGAGGTGTGGGGCCCAGAGGGGCTCAGGTACCCTACGGGGGGAGTCACCCCATGACCAGGAATCACGCTGTGGCCACACACAGGGAGCCTGACTGCAGCTTTCTGGAGGAGAACGTGGTTGCATTTCACATAGAAACACAGGTCATTTTGTTTCTGAAGAATTCATTCCGAATATTTATTTGCTACTTGACAAAGAAGAGACTTCATCAGGGATAAGATCTCGACAAAGACCATCTCCTGGCTGCCTTTTATATTCAAATCCACCACAGATCAACTCCTGGGGCGTAGCAGAGTCCTGTCTCCCCCCAAAATAGGGAGCACTTTCTGATTGTGGGGTTCAAAAAGCTGCCTTCTGAGGGTAAAGGGTGTTCTTACCAGGAAAGAGGAGACAGAACAATGAAGTCCCCAGGGGCCGGCAGCAGTGCCGAGGAGCCCCGGGGAAGAGCTCAAGCCAGTGGCCAAGCCTGGACCAGCCTCCAGCAGGGACAGCACCGTGGCTGTGGGGACAGTGGGGACAGCGCCTCGGGGCCACAGAGACGTGCTCCCTGGACGTTGGCCCAGGTGCCTGCCCACTTCCTCGGAGGGCCTCTGAACAAGCTGCAGGGCTGTCTCCATGGGAAGGCGCGCACCTCCTCACGCCTCTCCAGGGAAGCCACAGCTTCACTGTGCTGGCAGACCCACTCTGTTTTTTCTACATTGCCTAGAGTTCGGCTATTTTTCTCTTCCCAAAGAGCCTACCCAGCAAATTTTACTGGACAAAGTGCCTGGAACAAAGCAGCCAACAATAAAACTGGCGTGCACCCCATGAATAAAGGCGTCGCCCAGAAAATGCTCTAAATTAGGATTTAATTGCTAGAAATTACTTTCAATTACAAAAATTGCAATAAATTACTTGTTGAATAGACACATTCTTTCACCACCATTAATAATTTAAAATTGCTAATTGCACGTAATCGCAAGTAATTTTTGTTCTTTGGTGAGAATCGAGGTACTACGTTATGTGGGGTGGGTTTGCCAGGGCTGGCCCCCACCCTGCGCACCTCCACGTGTGGCAGGCAGAGCCGAACTCCCAGAAGAAGAGTTGCAGTGATGGGGCCTCCACCGCCAAAGCCACGGACCTGGTGCAGTTCATAAGGTGGCCTCCTCCCTCCATCAGCCCCTCAGGGACAACAGGTGGCCAAGGGGGTGACCTTCCCAAGGAGCTGGTCCCTCCGCCATCCTGAGAACAGTGAATTTGTATTTGCAGTAAAACCCAGATTCTCCAGAAAACGTCTTGCTGTCAGCATCCCCGCCGCCTTACACGTGCTATGGCTGCCCTCTGACTCTGCTGCCTGACTTTTATCTGCACAAATCCTACAGTCTCCTGGGAGCCCACCGGTCAGCCAGCTGCCTCCAGGGGTGCGTCTCCTCTCAGCTTCCTCTTCCATCTGAACCTTCCCTCCCTCCCCAAGTGTTCGTCCCTTGTCCACCTGGAAAGCCTCTCTGCCCTTGAAGCACAGCTCCTGCCCTGGCCCCGGCAGGCTGTAAGGTAGCACCCCCACATCCCGGTCCTGGTAGCACCCCCACACTCTGGCCCCAACAGGCTGTAAGGCAGCACCCCCACACCCCGGCCCCGACAGGCTGTAATGTATCACCCCCGCACCCCGGCCCCGACAGGCTGTAAGGCAGCACCCCCACACCCCGGCCCCAACAGGCTGTATCACCCCCCACACCCCGGCCCCGACAGGCTGTAAGGCAGCACCCCCACACCCCGGCCCCAACAGGCTGTAATGTATCACCCCCACACCCCGGCCCCGACAGGCTGTAAGGCAGCACCCCCACACCCCGGCCCCGACAGGCTGTAAGGCAGCACCCCCACACCCTGGCCCTGGGCAGTCGTGGTGACCGCATGGCCTTGTTGGTAGCTTCCTTCTTTATTAACTTGGCCCCATTTATTAACCACCAGCTTCCTGAGGGATGAAACCATGCTTCCAGCGTTTCCAGGCCCACACAGCACTGTGCCAGGGGCTCCAGGGAAGCTGATGGATGTGGGTGCTATGACACCAGCTGCTGCGGGGCCCTGATGCCATGGCTGGGAAGGACGTCGGCCTGGGGACGCTCAGCTGGCAGGATATGCCTCCCCAGGTGTGCGGGCGGCCTCCTCGTAGTGGAGGCAGGGGCGGAGGGTGCGAGGCATGCCACTGTGAGCTGGGGCCGAGGGGGCCATATGCTCAGGTGCTGTCTATCAGCTCTGGAGGGAGAAGCCAAACTCTCAGGCAGCCCACAGCGGGGTGAGGACCGGGCTCCGTCCCCTCTAACAGGGTGGGGTGGGGGGCACTGACTGGTCGGACCCTGCAAGATCCCCACGGGCAAGAGTGGCTGATCAGAGCTCCATGAACAGCCCCTTCGTCAGAAGCCATCCTCTCACACACGTGCACACACACACACACGTGCCCGCACACGCACACACGCGCACATACACGTGCACATAAACATGCTCTTCTCACGTCGCAGTGGATTTCTCTTGCACTGTTGCTTTAAGAACTGTCAGAGCGGTGAGATGACGGCAGCCTGTGCGAATCGGCCTCCAGCCTCCTCGGGGTCCTGCCCACTCTGTTCGCCATTCGGTCCCACACCTCAGCCACAACGGGCAGTCAGGGCTTCAGCCACTCCACGGGCACCAATGCTGAAGACCACAGAGGAATGTGCTCCAGACGGAGGAGGCCGGGCCCAGGCCTGATGGAGACACGGACGTTTGTACCTGAAGCCCTCAAGTCTGCCCTATAAAGGAGATGAACCCTGAAAACACTGACCCCTGAAATCAGCAAGAGGAGGCGGCTACAGTGCCAGGACCTAACCCGCGCTCTCCCAAGTCTCCTCCTCATCACACAGCTCCCGAGGCCTGCCAGAAGCACCCCTTGAAGGCACTGTCAGGGCCTTGCCACACTGCTGCACGAGGTGCACACGCAGGGGCTGGGACATATAGCTCTGGCCTTGCCTCCAAGTCTGTCTCCAAAACAATGAGCTGGGGAAGAGAAACTCTGTACGGTCCTCCCTACTCCCTTGCCCGGCCGGGGTTGTGGTCAGGCCACCCTGGGAAAGAGGAGCAGCCCAGGGCAGCTACAGAGGCTCCTCCTCCCACCTGGGGAGAGGAATCCGCCTTCAGGGAGCAGCCCATGCCCTCCCTGGCTTCTCCTGTCTGGCATCACGGCTGCGGCAGAGTCTAAGAGAAAGGCTCTCAGCCGGGCAGGACCACCAGGCACACAAGGGGGGGATGGGAGTTAGAGGTGCCAGCCCTGCTCCTGACCTCCCTGACCTCCAGCACATAACAGGGAGGCCAGGTCCTTGTCTGACACACCCAGAGAATCATCAGATCCAAGGCCCGGGGTGGCCGGGGACCAAGTATGGCTCCTATGAGAAAACAGGCGTCTGCAGGAGGCCTGAGCCTGCCCCACCAGCCTCAGCACGTAACATGTCTAGAACATTCCTAGAGCCAGAAGGATGTAGGAACTTCCTTCCAGAATACACTTCCCAGTGGACAGGGAAATGGGAATCGAATGCAGGGACCACCCACCACCTGCCAGGGGACCTCTGACCCCAGGGAGGAGGAAACAAGGTCAAATCCCAAGACCAGCCTGTGCAACATGATGAAACCCCGTCTCTACTAAAATACAAAAAAAAAAAAAAATTCAGCTGGACGTGAAGGTGGGCACCTGTAATCCCAGCTACGCGGGAGGCTGCGGGTGAAGGTGGGCGCCTGTAATCCCAGCTACGTGGGAGGCTGCAGCAGGAGAATTGCTCGAACCGGTAGCAGTGAGCTGAGATCGCACCATTTGGGCAACAAACTGAAATTCTCTCTCGAAACCAACAATCAATACAAACCAATAAGCCCAGAACCCACAACTTCCTGATGTAGATGGACATGTTGTGTCCGGAATTGGTGGGTTCTTGGTCTCGCTGACTTCAAGAATGAAGCCGCGGACCCTCGCGGTGAGTGTTACAGTTTTTAAAGATGGTGTGTCCAGAGTTTGTTCCTTCAGGTGTGTCCAGAGTTTCTTTCTTCCGGTGGGTTCATGGTCTCCCTGACTTCAGGAGTGAAGCTGCAGACCTTTGCAGTGGGTGTCACAGCTCATAAACACAGCGCATCCAGAATTGTTCATTCCTCCCAGTGGGTTCGTGGTCTCTATGGCTTCAAGAGTGAAGCTGAAGACCCTCACAGTGAGTGTTACAGCTCATAAAGGTAGCATATCCGGAGTTGTTCATTCCTCGTGGTGGATTTGTGGTCTCACTGGCCTCAGGAGTGAAGCTGCAGACCTTCGAGGTGAGTGTTACAGCTCACAGACGTAGTGAGGACCCAAAGAGTGAGCACCAGCAAAACTTACTGTGAACAGCAAAAAAACAAACCCTCCACACTGTGGAATGGGACCCAACCGGTTTGCTGCTGCTGGCTCTGGCAGCCTGCTTTTATCCCCATATCTGGCCGCACCTACATCCTGCTGATTGGTCCATTTTACAGAGAGTTGATTGGTCCATTTTACAGAGGCTAACTGGTCCGTTTTGACAGAGTGCTGGTTGGTGCATTTACAAACCTTTAGCTAGACACAGAGTGCTGATTTGTGCATTTACAATCCTTTAGCTAGACACAGAGCACTGATGGGTGCATTTACAATCCTTTAGCTAGACAGAAAACTTCTCCAAGTCCCCACCCTCCCAGCAGCCCAGCCAGCTTCACCTCTCACTGGTACTCGCTGCAGGACTTTGTGGCCCCTAGCCCGGGCACTCCAGGCAGCCCAATGGGAGCTCGTCCCAGACAACCAAGAGAAAAAGAGGGGAAGCGAGAAAGAGACAGAGACCCACCATCATGGCCAACGACCCAGGGAAGAGGGAATGGCAGTCCTCTCACGGGATCCAGCCTCCAATCAAGCCCAGCAGGTGCCGGCCAGTCCCACGGAGTGCCAGGCCCGCTAAGCCCGTGCCCACCCGGAACCTGCGCCGGCCCACAAGCCCCGTGTGCAGCCCCGGCTCCCATCCGCGCTTCTCCCTCCACACCTCCCCGCAAGCAGAGGGAGCCGGCTCCGGCCTCAGCAAGCCCCAGAGAGGGGCCCCCACAGTGCAGCAGCGGGCTGAGGGGCTCTTCGAGCCCGGCCAGAGCAGACACCGAGGCAGAGAAGGCGCCCAGAGTGAGCGAGGGCTGCTAGCACGTTATCACCTCTCAATGTGGACTTGACCCCACGGTGTGCCAGGTAAAATAAAGGTCTCCTTAGTTCCGTGAAGACAGTCGAGGTCTGTGCACTTAATCCAGAGCCCCGGACGGCCCCCACGCCCCACCGCTGCCCCCGAACCCACAGAGCCCCGCGGCGGCCCCCACGCCCCACCGCTGCCCCCAAACTGCACCAAGACACAGCAGTTTGCTCTCAAGCAGT
The DNA here is from genome assembly GCF_000001405.40 of Homo sapiens. Taxonomy (NCBI): domain Eukaryota; kingdom Metazoa; phylum Chordata; class Mammalia; order Primates; family Hominidae; genus Homo; species Homo sapiens. The sequence continues at coordinate 197,385 of NT_187560.1, read as the reverse complement.
TTAAACTCGTCTAATGCTTTAACTGGCCTGTCAAATCATTGTTTCACAGACCGCATAATATGAATTGTGTCCCTTCCATATCTGGAACACCAAATCCTAAATCCACAGCCTTCAAGCACATCTGGTTTTCCCGGGCCCAATCGGAAAGCAGGTCCTCTCCGGCCTGAAGCTGCGAAGAGAGGCAGCAGCCATGAGAAGGTGGCTAACCCCGTCGGGGGCCATGGCTGCCTAGGGGAGGCCGGCAGAGCCTGCCTGGGGGTCGGTAAGGACGCTGGCTTTGGTCTGACACCGGCAGGGAGGGACAGCGACGAGGGCAGGAGCCGCGGCTCTACCTGGGAACGCAGGATCATCTCTACTCTGACGGCTCAGCCTCTGCACACAAACCATCCTTCTGCGTTTAATTGGTCCTCTCCAGGGGATGTTTTTTGAAACTAGGTCTTTGAAGACCTTTCATAGCAGCCCTGAGATACCGGGTGGAGAGGGCAGATGGAGAGAGAACCAGGAGATGAAAGGAGGAGCCGAGAGAGCCTGGGGGAGCCGGACGGGTGCGGCCCGACACTGCGTAGAGACGCGGCCGTGGAGTTTCTCCACCGTCATTAAACCCCTTTTTTGCTGAGGAACGTGTTATCAATTTTAAAATTTTCCCAAATGTTGAACAATGGAAGTGTTGTTTGCAGAGAGAGCTCAACTGTCTAAAGTAGAGAAATAGAAGGTCTCCCGAGACTGAAATGACAAAGATGGAAAGCGGGAGGGGAGGCCTCACGGCAGCTGTGCCCAGAACCAGCACGCTGTGAACAGGCGCCAGGCCCTGCGCCGGCCCACGGCTACACGGTGCTCTGGAAACATAGGCTAGCGAGAGTCTAAAGAGGTGGTGCAGGCTCAAAGCCATGTGCTCGTCATCACAGCTTCCATTTAAATCTTGAGGGCTGGGCGCAGTGGCTCACGCCTCTAATCCCACCACTTTGGGAGGCCGAGTCGGGCAGATCTCTTGAGATCAGGAGTTCAAGACCAGCCTGATCAACATAGTGAACCCCACCTCTACTAAAAATACAAAAGTTAGCCGCGCTTATAATCCCAGCTGCTTGGGAGAGTGAGGCAGGAGAATCACTTGAACCGGGGAGGCAGAGGTTGCAATGAGCTGGGATCATGCCACTGCACTCCAGTCTGGGTGACAGAGCAAGACTCCGTCTCAAAAAATAAAAATGAAAATAAGCAAATACATTTTGTGTATGGTTTAAAAGCATATAAAACAGTAGTAGAGTCATACACATACTCCTAAATAACAAAGGCAAATAGGAATACCAGGAGTGCATGCTTTGTGTGTTTTCATCAAGAACATAGTCACCAAAATCCAAGCGGATGGGCACAGCCATTTGCATGTAACTTTACAGTATAAGAGACATTGTCATATGCCCACAGTCTGCTATGAAGACACAGATCCAGACTGGCTAAGAGCACAGAGGTGCATGGAAATGCTCGGGTGTGTGGTGTGCGTGGTGCCCTGCGCATTTGTGCTGGCTTTGCACCCCCCTCCTGCCACGTCCCGTGCAAACGCTCAGGTGTGTGGCATGCCTGGGGCCCTTTGCATTGGTGCTGGCTTTGCACCCACCTCCTGCCACGCCCCAAACCCCAAGGAGTCCAGGAGCCAGGAGAGCCCAAAATCCCCATCCATGCTCCTAGAAAGGAAGTTTCTTGACAAAGGTCTGAGTCAACCATGGGTAAAGCCAGAATAAACCCTGCTAGTTCTTTTGAGGTGTGAACAGTCTCAGCTACTCTGAGCCCCGCATAACTCACTTTGGTCACCAGAGGAGCAGGATTTACAGGGTCAAAAGCCATTTCTCCTTCCAGAGGCTCCCAGCTCAAAGCCCAGCCATCGTCTCCCAGACATTTTGGGTCGCATGGAAATCTGCCTCTTAAGAGACCTGGCCTCCTGTCTAGGGTTAGAGAACACTGTGTTCCCAGAAGGGACAGTCAGGCCTCAGGATCCTCTCCTGAGAAGCCCTGAACTCAAGTCAAACTGAGCCTGTGTTAACAGGGTCCTTTGCCGCTAAGAACCCAACTGTCTCAGGAGTGGCTCTGCCTTTTTTTTTTTTTTTCCTTTCTATTTTCAGACAAATCGTCACTCAGCATAGTAAACCCAAGATATAAAAACCAACAATTGAGTAACTGGTCTTTTCCGTCTGTCTTGGGAAAGTAGCTTATCAAAAGTAAGATGAAAAAAGAGTATTTTATTGTTAAACTCTATAATGAAGCAACTGTCTTTGACTACACAATGTGGGAACTTGCCAGTGAATGTAGAAGTACTGCGGGGCCATGCGTCAGAGGTGTGTGGGTCTAGGAGACGCAGATCAGGAGTCTGGCCTGGCTCAGATGTCCACAGCCAGGAAGCCGCGGGCAGAGCAGCGGGGTCGAGGCTGCGGCTGAGTTTGTGAGCTGTGGCAGCCATACTTACTCTGCAGGGCATGTTGAGTTCTGAAGGAGACAGCACTGCTGAAGTGAGCACAGCAGCAGGACAGACGGCTGATCCCTCCTTGTGCTCCCACACACAGCAGCGAGACACAAACGGCTCGTCCCTCCTGGTGCTCCACACACAGCAGCCGGACAGACGGCTGATCCCTCCTCGTGCTCCCACATGCAGCAGCCAGACACAGACGGCTCATCCCTCCTCGTGCTCCCACACACAGCAGCCGGACAGACAGCTGATCCCTCCTCGTGCTCCCACACACACAGCAGCCGGACACAGATGGCTTGTCCCTCCCTGTGCTCCCACACACAGCAGCGGGACACAGAGGGCTCATCCCTCCTCATGCTCCCACACAGCAGCGGGATATAGACGGTGGTCCCTCCTCGTGCTCCCACGCAGCAGCAGGACATAGACGGCTCGTCCCTCCTCATGCTCCCACACGCACAGCAGCCGGACACAGATGGCTGATCCCTCCTCGTGCTCCCACATGCAGGGGCCTCAGCTCTCAGGAGGAAAACACTCTTGAGAGAAGAGAACTGAGGAAAGGTAGCGCTGATGTCAGGGGAAGACGCATTCGACAACACGCATGAAAAAAAACACTTCTTGTTACGTTCATGCCATGCTTTTGTATTCGCCACAATAAGAAAACCAAGCAAGTACTTCAGTCAGGCGGCAGCCGTCACAGGTAAACAAACTCCTATGTGGGAAATGAACCGAGGCTGTGAGCCTCAGGCAGCTCCCCAGACCCCCAAGAGGAGAGGGAGCAGTGACCGAGCAGGCCCCGTCTGCAGTTCACACCGTCTGCCATCCGTCCCAGAGCCCAGCCTCTTGTAGCCAAGACGGGGCAGGAGACAGAGCAAAACCACTGAGACCACCACTGAGAGGGTAACCAGGCTTCTCAGTAGAACCAGGGGCTTGCCGCAGGGACGGGAGCTCTGACTGGCCACGTCGTGGAGTCTGCAGCTGCCCATGGTGGAGGGAATGGCATGCAGGTGACAAGGACATAGGGACCTTGCTGTGGCCACCCGCCGGGGTCACAGCATGTCCACGGCACCCTGATGGAAGCTTTAATCATCAACGGTGTTGGCCGCCAATGGCATAATGACCGGACCTCACCCCACCCGCAGCCCTAGTGGACACGCCCATGCAGGTGATCAGCAGTGCCGTGGCAGCCACAGAGACAGGCCACCACCACTCCTCAGGCCACTCAAAGCCACCAGCCCCTCCCTAATGGCCTCCTGAGCACCAGAAATGCAGAGGGGTGACAGCATGTCTCAGAACACACTGTGAGCACAGACCTAGAATCACCACGTCGTTCAGAATCGCCACCTCACAGAGAAGCAAACCCAAAGGCAGCCAGCGTAGGAGCCTTTTCCTCAGGAGGGCTGTGTCCTGCTCCTAAAACATTTCCAGGGTTCGGGCATCAAGATCAGATCACACGTTAATCAATCACACGTTTAAGAACGCCTGAAAGACATGTTCATAGCTATATTCGATGTCGTTGGATTTTCCAACATGGACTGATGCTCTTCAATTCTCTCAAGCGCGTTTACACACACACTTGTTTGCCTGTGTGTTTTTGTGTCCAATGTGTGTCGTGCACAGGTGCAATCCAAGTGTGCACCGGACTCACAAGACTCAGTATTGGCAGCGTCCTACATTTAGAGAGAATCCAGACAAACAGCTGGTGGGCACTGGGCACTGTTGTGTGCCAGGAACTCTCCGAGTCAGCCAGGCACTGGGCACTGTTGTGGGCTGGGCACTCTCCAAGTCAGCCGGGCACTGGGCACTGTGTGTGTGCCAGGCACTCTCCGAGTCAGTGTACATGAATGCACTTGGCCCTCTTGATGCTCTATGAGTAAGTGCTGCTGGGACACACCCATTTCACAGGTACTAAAGCTGAGACAGAGATCCACTCTGCAAACCCTTGCCCAGTGCCACTCTGGTAATAGGAAGAGTGAGAATTTGAGCTCAGGCAGAGCCACTGTCGGTGGTTTTGACAGAAATTATGGACTCTTTCTGAACTTCCTAATGAGAATTTAGGAGGCTCTCAGGTGCCCCTTCCTGTCCCACTCCATAGTTTGGCGTACGGACTCCGCTTATTCCTGACCCTCCCTGCCATCCCACCTCTGTCCCCTCTACCCACACCTCCCGCAGGAAGGCATTCCCACCCAGCTCCTCTGCCCGCATCCAATGGAGTGAGCAGGTGCAGGCGATGAATGTACTATCACCAATAATTTTGGAACTTCTACTACATATGTGTATCTACCACATGCTGCCTGAGCTCGTTGAGCTGGACTTTTAAAGCAGCAGTGCCTCAATATGCCTGGCCTGGCTGGCACACGCCGCCTGCCTAGATTGCATAGGGTGAGCAGTCTGCCTGTGCCCCCACGAGCCCGGCTGTGCCCATATGCTGACGTTATCCTCCACTGGGTACAAAAAGGATGACAGGAACCCTCCTCATCACGCTCGTCATCTCAGTAATTCCCTGGGAGCTTTTGTTTGTTTTTTGTTTTGTTTTTCTCCCTGCATCTGTCTTGCTGTTGCTCTCAGTGGAAAACATACAATATTTCTGACGTGCCCAGGCTTTGGGCCATGCTGCAAATGTATCCTGCCATTGTGAAATGACCTTCACTGCGCTCCTGCCCAGAATGTGTGGGAAGAAAAGGGCACTCGCGGTCCCATGGGCCAAACAAAAGAGTGGTCTGGGGGATCCTGTGCTATGTAGGGACAGGAGAAGGTGCCAGGACTCCTGGTGAACAAGACATTCCAAAGGCCAAGCATTGCTAACTAATGCAAGGCTGCAGGAGAGACCAGCAAATGACAATAGCCACTCTCCTCAGAAGGACAGGGATGTGCCCACGCCGGCTTCAACTCTCCCGCCCAACCCCAGCACAAGCAGAGCTGAGCGCTCAGGTCCTCCTCCATCCATGCTGCTCCTGCAGGCGGGCCCCAGGAGGCTGGACCTGCTCTTGCCTGGGTACAGCAGGCAGCTGAGCCCCCTCCTCTGACACCAGCATCCTGTGTCCCAGCCCTGCCTCCACAGCTTCTCCTCATCAGGCCTGCCATTCCCACACCACAGAGCATGCTGCTGTAAGAGGCCAGGTGTGAAGAGCCCTTATGCTCTCAACCTTGTCTGATCAGGGTGGAATGAGGAGTGGAACAGCGTAGAGCGCGGGCTGTCTATGTCAGCTACACCGGCTAACTCCGGCAAAACCTCAGTCCTTGGGTTAGGGAGACAGGTGACAACCCCATTCGCCTCTGAGCTAGGGAAGTAGAGATGCTCTATACCTGTGTCCACACCCCTCAGAGGACACCAAAGGTTTCACAGAGAGAGCTCCACACACCTCTGAGGTTGGATCCAGCCACACAGAGGTGTCTGCTATGCAGCAAGCTAAACACAACCAATTCCTGGTGTTGGGATTAACAAGCAGCAGGGCAGACCACGAGAATGAACATTTATCAACAGCCATCGGGAAACATGCCCTCCAGCTCTCACATGTTCTCCAGGCTCCCTGGGCAAATGGAGTCCTAAGTATTTTATATTTTTTGAGCTACTATAAATGGGATTATTATCTGATTTCTTTTTCAGACAGTTCATTCTCAGTGTATAAAAATGCTCTTTATTTTTGTCTGTGGATTTTGTATCCTGCAAATTTACTGAATTTATTAGCTCTAACAGTGTTTTTGGTGGCATCTTTAGGATTCTATATGTAAGATCATGTCATCTGCAAACAGGGACAATTTTAACTTCTTTTGTTCCAATTTGGATGCCTTTTGTTTCTTCCTTTTGCCTAATTGCCCTGGCTAGGTTTTGCAATACAGTGTTGAAAGAAGTGGCGAGAGTTAGCATCCTTATCTGGTTCCTGATCTTAGAGGAAAAGCTTTCAGCTTTTCACCATTGCGTATGATGTTATCTGTGAGTTTGTCATATATGGTCTTTATTATGTTGAAGCACATCCCTTCTACAGTATATCTAATTTATTGAGTGTTTTTATTATGAGAGGATGTTGTGTTTTGTTGTATGTTTTTTATACATCTAATGAGATGATATATGGTTTTTATCCTTCCCTCAATGTGGCATATCACATTAATAGAGTTGCATATATTGAACCATCCTTGCATACCAGGGATAAATCCCAGTTGATCGTGGTGAATGATCCTTTTCATGAGCTGTTGAATTCAGTCTGCTGGTATTCTTTCGAGGGTTTTTGCATCTATGTTCATCAGGGATTTTGGCCTGTAATTTTCTTTTCTTATAGTGCCTTTGTCAGCTTTGGTATCACGGTAGTGCTGACCTCGTAAAATGAGTGTGGAAGTATTCCTCTTCTTCAGTTTTTTGGAAGAGTTTGAGAAGGATGAGTATTAGTCCTTCTTTAAATGTTAGGTAAGATCAGCAGTAAAGCCATCAGGTCCTGAACTCTTTTTATGGGAGACTTTTTATTACTAATCAAATCTCCATATTTGTTATTGGTCTGTTCAGATTTTCTGTTTCTCCATAATTTTTCTTGGTAGGTATCATATGCTTAGGGATTTTCCATTTCTTCTGGGTTATCCAATTTTTGGCATATAATTGTTCATAGTCTCATGGTCCCTTACATTTCTGTGGTATTTGTTGTAATGTTTCCTCCTTCATTTCTCATTCCACTTGACTTTTCTCTTTTTTCTTAGTCTAAAGGTTTTCAATTTTGTTTATCATTTCAACAAACAAACTCTTAGTTCCATTGATCTTTTCTATTGTTTTTCTAGTTTCGATGTAATCTCTTTCTGTTCTGATCTTTATTATTTCTTTCCTATTAGATTTAGGCTTAGTTAGTTCTTTTTATAGTACCTTGAGGTGTAATATTAGGTTGTTTATTTGGATTCTTTCTTCTTTTCTGATGTAGGCATTTATCACTATAAACATCCCTCTTAGACCTGCTTCTGCTGCATCCCATAGGTTTTGGTATGCTTTGTTTTTATTTTTATTTATCTCAAGAGATCTTTTAATTCTCTTTTTAATTTCTTCTTTGACATATTGGTGGTTCAGAAGCATGTTGTTCAATTTCCATATATTTGTCAATTTTCTGAAATTCCTCCTGTTATTAATTTCTAGTCTCATACCAGGATGTTCAGAAAAGATGCTTAATGTGATTTGAATCTTCTTAAATTTATTAATGTGTTTTGTGGCATAATGTGATCTATCCTGGAGAATGTTCTCTGTGTTTCAGAAGAATGTGTATTTGCTACCATTATATGGTATATTCTGTATATATCTGTTATGTCCATTTGGTCTAAAAGTATAGTTTAAGACTGATGTTTCCTTATTGATTTTCTGTCTGAATGATCTGTCCATTGCCGAAAGTGGGTATTGAAGTCCCCTACTGCTACATTACAGTCCATCTCTCTTTCTTCAGACATATTAATATTTGCTTTACATACTTAGGTTCTCCAGTTTTTAGCCCATATTTATAATTATTATATCTTCTTGATGAATTGACCCCTTTATCACTGTATAATGACTTTATTTTACAGTTTATGACATGAAGTCTATTTTATTTAAGTATAGCACTTCTACTCTCTTTTGGTCTTCATTTGCATGAAATATCTTTTTCATCCCTTCGCTTTCAGTCTATGTCCTTAAAAGTGAAGGGAATCTCTTGTAGGTAGCATATAGTTGGGTCCTATTTTTCAGCCATTCAGCCACTCTGTCTTTTGATTAGAAAATGTAATCCATTTACATTCACAGTAATTATTGACAGGCAGGGTCTTACTAATGCCATTTTGTTCATTGTTTTCTGGTATTTTCTAAGTCCTTTTTCCTTTCATCCTCTGTGTCTGTCTTCCCTTATGATTGGGTGATTTTCTCTAGTGATATGCTTTGATTCCTTACTTTCTATCTTTGGCATATCTACTAAGGTTTTTGCTTTGTAGTTACCATGAGGCTTACATAAAAATATCTTACAGTTATAGCAAGCTTTTCTAAGTTGGTAACAGCTTAACTTTGATCACATTTTTAAAATCTCTACACATTTACTCCACCCACCCCACGCATAAACTTTAATGTCACAATTCATATCTTTTTGTTGTAGCTATTATTTAAGAAATTTCATAGCTATCACTGTGATAGTTTTCTCTTTTTACCTTCATGCTAAAGACTTAAGTGATTTGTACACCACCATTACAGTATTATTCTGAATTTGACTGTATACTTATTTTTATCAGTGAGTTCTATACTTTTGTATGTTTTCATGTTGCTAGTTAGCATTCTTTTCTTTCAGCTTGAAGAACTCTCTTTAGAATTTCTTGTAGGACAGCTCTGGTGGTGATTAATCCCTCAGCTTTTGGTTGGCTAGGAAGGTCTTTTCCTCTCCTTCATTTCTGAAGAACAGCTTTGCCAAGTACAGTATTCTTGGTTGGCCATTTTTTTCCTTCAGCACCTTGAATATATCATTCTACTCTCTCTTGCCTATAGGGTTTCTGCTGAGAAGTCTGCTATAAACCTTCCTGTAACTCCTTTATATGTGATTTGCTTCTTTTCTCTCACTGCTTTTAAGATCCTCTTTGTCTTTGATTTTTGACAGTTTGATTATAATATATCTCAGTATAGTCTTATTTGGATTCAATCTAATCGGAGACTTTTGATCTTCCTGTACCTAGATATTTATATATTTCCCCAGAATTGGAATGTTTTCTCATATTATTTAAATATGCTTTCAGTCCCTTGGTCTCTCTTCTCCTTCTTGAATACCTGTAACTCAAATATTTGATCTTTTGGTGTTATCTCACAAATCCCATAAGCTTTCTTCATTCCCGTTTACTCTTTTTCTCCTCTGACTGTATGTTTTCAAATAACCTGTCTTTAAGTTCACGGATTCTGTTTCATCAATTCTGCAGTTGACACTCTCTACTGCATTTTTCATTTCATTTATTGTGTTTTCCACATCCAGAGTTTCTAGAATTTTTAAAAAATAATTTATACCTCTCTGTGGAATTTCTAATTGCAGTCATTTACTGTTTTCCTGATTTTATTGAATTGTTTTTCTATATTTTCTTGAAGTTCATGAACTTCCTTCAAACACTTACTTTGAATTATCGGGCCATTTGTTTATCTCCATTTCTTTGGAGTCTGCTGCTGGGAGATTATTGTGGTTTTTGGTGGTGTTGTGTCTCCTTGGTTTTTCATGTTTGTTGTTGTTGTTGTTGTTGTTGCCTTACGTTGATGTCTGCACATTTTGGGAAGTAGGGACTTATTCTATTCTTTGTAGAATGGCTTCGCCTGGGTAAGCCCTTCATCAATAAGCCCATGCAGATTCTGGGCGTCATCTGGCATGCTCCATAGGTAGGCTTGCTATTGGGGTCCTCACGCAGGCTGGTCCAATGCCTGGGTTAGCAGGTGAGTGAGCCTTGGCCTGGATCCACTGGAGTGGACCTGTTGATTGAGTCTGCAAGGGTGAACTTAGAGCCTGGCATCCGTTAAGGCAGGACTGGTGCTAGGGTAGGCCATATACCTGAGTCTGAAGGGGCTGTCCTGGGGCTAAGGTGGGCCCAGAGCTTGAATTTGTGGGGGTGAGCCTGGGTCCTGGATCCACAAGGGTTGGCCTGGAGCCTAAGTCTGCAGAAGTGGTCTTGGAGCCTCTGTCCAAAGGGGCTGGCTGGCACCAGGGGTCTATTGGAGTGGGCCTGGACTCTGAGTTCTGGAGCCTGGAGCACTGGGGACCAGCCTGGATCCTGAGTCCACAGGGACACTCCTGGAGCCCAGGTCAGTGAGGGCTGGTTCAGTGCTGGGGCCTACCAGGATAGGCCTGGGTCCTGTCTGCTAACCATGGAGCTGCAGGGCCAGCCTGGTGCCAGAGATGATGTGGAGCCTGAGGCCAATGGGGTCAACCTGTATGCGGAGTGGGCCCAGAGACTAAGTCCACTGGGCAGGTGTGGGGCCTGGGCCTGCATGATCCTACCTGGTATTGGGGCAGGCCTGAAGCCTCCGTCCTTGGGTACCAGCCTGGAGTAGGAAGCTATGGGGGCATGTCTGGTGCTGGGTTTAACTTGGTTGGTGGGGGATCAGGAGGCAGTTTTAGAGTTAGAAGCAAAGTCTGGTACTCACTTCTCTTTCCTTCCCCCACATAGAGGGCATCTCTCACCACAACATGCTGCTAGGCCTGGGTGAGAGGGGACCCAGTCATGCAAAACTGTTTTTTCTGCCTTTTCAGTGCATCTTATTTCTGTGCCATGCCCAGGTGCTATCACCTCTCACCTGGTTTCCTTAGCACTTGTGAAGGTATTTTTGCACACAGATAGATGTTCAAATTGTTGTTTCTGTGATGGATGAGCAATGGAGAGTCCTCTCCTGCTGCCTTGCTGATGTCCATCTCTGACGAATGTTGACTATGTGACTCTCTTTAAAATATTCAGGGAAAGGAGCATCTGATTCTTTAAGAAGTCAGCAGATAAAATGTGGATGCTCTTTGACAGAGGAGGAGGAGGTCTGCTGAGCCAAGAGCAGGATGCAGAGATGGGGCATTTCTGCTCTGGGGTGGGGAGTTGAGAACCTCATGGCAGGAGGAGTTTCCAAGGCTTGCCTTCATTCCACCCCACTTGGTGATGATGTAACAGCTTCCATTTGTGTTTCACAGTTTTCAAAATGTACTCACCAGGATCAACCCACTTGGTCTTCATGACTCTTTTGATGTGGATCTAGCTGTGTTGCTTTGTATTATTCAAGATGTCTAATCATTTTCACACTTGAGGGTTCTAGGGATTTTTCTGATACTATCCACTCTTCCCTTGATATACAAAGTCATATGATACAGAATCACACATATTTGTTGATCTGGAGAAACAATAGGGATATGAGGATATCATTTATTGGAATTTATATTTTGTTTGGGTTTTTTTAGTCTAAGCTCTAGGAGCTTCCCCTCCCCCAATTGTTATAAATTAACTAGATTTTGGTTGATTTCTAATGTTTTCCAAAAAGTGTTTATTCATTGGTTTTTGTCTTTAAAGTTAAGATTCACTGGGTAAAGTAAAATAGAGTTCTGTGGCAAGAAACAACCCTGACAGATGAAACTGACCCTGGACAGTGCTGCTGTCTTTGGTTGTCTGACTTATTACTTCTGATTTGTAATAATTTCTGAGGCTGAATACAGTGTTAAATGAAATTCCCTGTCTGCACCAATGTTCCTGCACTTTGTAACTCGATTCTTGACTTCAAATAAAAGTGACTTCTTCATATAGCTTTGCCATTTACTCTTAGAGCCAGCTAACACTACCAGAACCCTAACAAAATCACAAGAAAGTTTAACTCAAGAAGAGAGAGATGAAAGAGGGAGAGAAAGAAGAGGGGAGTGTAAAAGCCATTTCCAAAACAAGAGGCCCAGACATCAATTTGTAATTATCTGCCCACATGAGTCTAAAGGCTTTTATTTGATAAGGCCAGTAATACACAAGCCTGTAATGTGAATTATTTCAAAGAATAAAAGCCTGATTGTCTCCATGACCTGTCTAGCTTTTAGTGAGGCTTAAGACAAGATTACATTCCATACAGCCCGCAAATGGATCCCTCCTCTCCCCACCTTCCTGCTTCTTTCAGAAATGCCAGGGTTTTCTGTGCTGCCATCTGGTAAGCTTCCAGTTCCGATAGGTCTCAATTTCCTCCTCTGTTGAGACATCTAATTCTCCTGAGGGTGACGGTTCTTCCTTGTCTGAAATGAAGCTTCTATTAAACAAAGACTGCCCCTATTCCAGGATGTTCAAAAGCAGATGGAGCCCGCCTCCTGGTGAGGCTTTTCCATTAACACTAAAGAATGCCCTAAATCAAGCTTTTCAGTTTTAAATAGGGATGAAGTCTAACTGACCTCATACTTTAAAATTAAAAGGTAAAAACTGTGGGTTGCATCAGAAAAGAAAATGCAAGCTTTTAAAGCATTCACAGGTAAGCCATGTAGTTTTAATCCTAAGAGTAGTACAGTTGCATTGCTTAATGGTAGGGGTACATTCTGAGTAATTCCTCATTAGGTGATCCTGTCACTGTGCAAACATCACGGGTGCACTTACGCACCCCCAGATGGGACAGCCCGCCACACACCTGGGCTGGATGGTAAAGCCCATTGTGCCTAGGCTACAAATCTGTCCTACAAGTTACTGTGCTGAATGCTACAGGCAATTGTAACACAAGGTTAAGTATCTGTGTATCATCTATACATTAAAAGGTGCAGTAAAAATATGGTATAAAAGATAAAAATGGGCCGGGCATGGTGGCTCACGCCTGTAATCCCAGCACTTTGGGAGGTCAAGGTGGGTGGATCAGTTGAGGTCAGGAGTTTGAGTTCAGCCTGGCCAACATGGTGAAACCCTGTCTCTACTAAAAATACAAAAATTAGCCTGGCGAGGCAGCAGGCACCTGTAATCCCAGCTACTAGGGAGGCTGAGTCAGGAGAATCACTTGAACCACGGAGGCAGAGGTTGCAGTGAGTCAAGATCACGTCACTGCACTCCAGCCTGGGCAACAGAGTGACATTCAGTCTAAAAAAGAAGATTAAAATGGTGCAGCTATATAGAGCACTGACCATGAATGGAGCCTGCAGGACTGAAATTTGCTCTGAGTGCATCAGTGAGGGTGGGGTGGGTGAGTGTGAAGGCCGAGGACATTACTGTACACCACTCTAGACTATCAACACTGTATACTTAGGCTACACTAAATTTATAAAAATGTTTTTTCTTCAATAATAAATTACCTTTAAATAGTAACTTTGGGCTGGGCACGGTGACTCACGCCTATAATCCCAGCAGTTTGGGAAGCTGAGACAGGTGATCACCTGAAGTCAGGAATTCAAGACCAGCCTGGCCAACATGGTTAAACCCCGTCTCTACTAAAAATACAAAAATTAGCCAGGTGTGGTAGTGTGCACATGTAATCCCAGGTACTCGGGAGGCTGAGGCAGGAGAATCGTTCAAACCTAGGAGGCAGAGGTTGCAGTGAGCTGAGATCGCACCACTGTTCTCCAGCCTAGGTGACAGAGCAAGACTCTGTCTCGAAAAAAAAAAATAGTAACTTGTGTACTTTATAAATGTTTTAACTACTTTTAACTTTTTCTTATAACACTTAGCTTAAAACAAACACATAGTACAGCAGTATAAAAATAGTCTCTTTATATCCTTATTCTATAAGCTTTTTCCTATTTACACTTTTCTTCCACTTTTAAAACTTTTTTGTTAAAAAAAAAAAAAACTAAGACACAAACACACACCCTAGCCTAGGCCTACACAGGGCAGGCTCATCAATATCACTGTCTTCCACCTCCACATCTTGTCCCACAGGAAGGTCTTCAGGGGCAATAGCACATGTGGGGCCATCATCTCCTATGAGAAGAATGCCTTCTGCCGGCATATCTCCTGAAGGACCTGCCTGAGTCTGTGTGAGTGTTAGTTTTGCTTTTTAATAAGTAAAAAGAGTGCATTCTAAAATAATGATAAAAGTACAGCAAATACACATGTACCGTGCACAGCTAGACTAGACTTTCATACAAGTGGGAGTGCAGTTGGCTCGTCTACACCAGCATCACCACAAACATGTAATTCACTGCACTGTGACATCATGAGGGCCACAAGGTCAGTCGGTGACAGGGGTTTTCAGCTCCACTACAACCATATGGGACCACCATCATGTACGCGATCTGCTGCTGGTGGAAACATTGTTATGTTGTGCTTGCTGTTTACAGTTTCTCAACATCACTTGAACCTACAAGAATATCTAAGGACCTTCTGAGACACAAAAGCTTGATTCTCAAATACATAAAAATAAGAAGGATTTTTGTTTTCCCCCAAAGTGATGAAATTACATGAGAGTTTGTTGTTTTCATGTCTGGCTCCCATATTTTTTGTAAGTTTTTCATGTAAATTAAAGGTTTACTCTGGCGTCAACTATTCCCTCCTGGCCTGGAATCACAGACGTTCCATTTCTTCCATCTACTCATTTGGGAATAAGTCACGTAATTCCCGGCCCTCAGCTCCTCAACTGATATCCCTGAGCAACAGCATCAGACATGCGTGTGCCTCTGACACAGGAGGATGCGAGAGGCAGGGCTGAGCCAGGCCAGGCAGGAGCAAGCGGGGAGGGAGGAGTGTTCCCGGGGGAAGAGTGAGAGGCAGGAAAGACATCCAGCCACAAGGAGACCTGGGAGCACGGGTCGCCCAGAATTCAGTGTGCTTCTATTTCCACGCTCATGGTTCACCCACCTTTCTGAGGGTCCAAGCCCACGGCACCCGCTGACCCTGCCTGTCTGCCCAGACACTGCACCACATCGTGGTTCACCTGCCTTTCTGAGGGTCTAAGCCCATGGGGCCCGCTGACCCTGCCTGTCTGCCCAGACACTGCGCCACTTTCCACGCGCGTGGTTCACCCACCTTTCTGAGGGTCCAAGCCCACGGCGCCCGCTGACCCTGCCTGTCTGCCCAGACACCGCACCACCTTCCACGCGCATGGTTCACCCACCTTTCTGAGGGTCCAAGCCCATGGCGCCCGCTGACCCTGCCTGTCTGCCCAGACATTGCACCACATCGTGGTTCACCCGCCTTTCCGAGGGTCAGAGCCCATGGCACCCGCTGACCCTGCCTGTCTGCCCAGACACTGCACCACATCGTGGTTCACCTGCCTTTCTGAGGGTCTAAGCCCATGGGGCCCGCTGACCCTGCCTGTCTGCCCAGACACTGCACCACTCTCCATGCGCGTGGTTCACCCACCTTTCCGAGGGTCTAAGCCCATGGAGCCCGCTGACCCTGCCTGTCTGCCCAGACACTGCACCACTCTCCATGTGCGTGGTTCACCCATCTTTATGAGGGTCTAAGCCCATGGGGCCCGCTGACCCTGCCTGTCTGCCCAGACACTGCACCACATCGTGGTTCACCTGCCTTTCTGAGGGTCTAAGCCCACGGTGCCTGCTGACCCTGCCTGTCTGCCCAAACACTGCACCACTCTCCATGCGCGCGGTTCACCCGCCTTTCTGAGGGTCCAAGCCCACGGCGCCCGCTGACCCTGCCTGTCTGCCCAGATGCTGCCCCACATCTCCATAGCACCCAGTTGTGCACTAGCAGCTGAGGTGAGCTGTCGAATCCTCATTTTCTCACTTTTCATTTTCACATCATCAGGCACCTTGTCTGAGATGGTTGCTTAGTTAAATAAACAGAAAGATGAGTTTGGATTGCTTCTGATACGGGAGATGGGCAGGGAAGTGCTGGGTGGAGAAGGGCGGGTCTCTGGCAAGGGCTCTACCCCTGGACCTTTCCCATGGGCCTAGGCGAGGACAGGCATTTTTGTTTTTGTGCCCAAATGTTGCATTTCCCAAGACCACCCTGGTCCACCACGCCTCTATCCTGTGCCTATAAAAACCCTGAGACCCTAGCAGGCAGAGACACAAGCAGCTCCCCAAGACCCTAGCGGGCAAAGACACAAGGGCTGGATGTCAAGAGGAGCACACCGGCAGAAGAACTCACTGACAGGCACCAGCAGACGAGGTAGTTGGAGGAGAGCCTGGCTGCTGAGCGGCCCGACTCCAGGGGAAAACTGCCTTCCCAGTCCATCTCCCTCTGGCTCCTGCTGAGAGTTACTTCCACTCTATAAAACCTTGCGCTCATTCTCCAAGCCCATGTGCGATCTGATTCTTCCAGTACACCAAGGCAAGAAACTCCAGGACACAGAAAGCCCCCTGTCCTTGCAATAAGGCAGAGGGTCTAATTGAGCTGGTTAACACAAGCCGCCCACAGACGGCGAAACTAAAAAAGCACCCTGTAACACACGCCCACTGGGGCTTTAGGAGCTGTAAGCATTCACCCCTAGACACGGCCGTGGGGTCTGAGCCCACAGCCTGCCCGTCTGTATGCTCCCCTGCAGGTGGGAGCAGTGGGGCACTGAAGAAGCAACCCACTCCTCCATCGCACGCCCTGTGAGGGGAATAAGGGAACTTTTCCTGTTTCACTTCATCTCAACCCTCCTGACCCACTCTCTTCTGGGCGGCAGTTGGCCTTTCTGAGGCAGCAGATGGAGCCAAGCATGTAGGCTGTGGTCACAGAGGCACATGGCCACCTGGCCCACAGGAAGACCATGGGAAGACCACAGGTGGACACGCCCGGCACTCAGGGAACTCTAAGGGAGGTGGAGCTTGGGTGGTGGAGCAGTTGGGGTGGTGGGGCAGGAGAGACCAGCAGATGTGGCCGGGGGCAACATTTGGAATGTCCATGGATAGCATTCCATCCAAACACAAACGTGCGCCTTACTAGTTCCTCTGCTTCTGAAGCGGTAACGGTGAAAATCCTGGGAGCTCTCAGGATCCAGTCCCGGAGGGACCAGCACAGCACATATACAGCTTCTGCCAATGGCTGGGCATAAGCTTTTAAAAACTGATCATGTTTCCTAGCTACAGAATGACTTTCTCTTCATTTCAGATTGATCATCATTCAGAGAGAGCTGCTAACTCTCTGGCTTTCAGCCGTTCTGTCCTGGTGTTAACAATCTGGGAACCTATTCTGAAATGTACCAGAGAAACTCTCTGTTCAAAGGGATCTGCCAGAAACCCTTTGGGAAGGGAAGACGCCCCTGGAGCCACAGTGATGACACTGCAAAGTCCGTTCATTTGTGATACGGTATCTCCTTGTGGTTCAGCAACCCTCAGCCCATGACCTGGTGAGCTTGACTTGAGGCTTCATTCTTCATCAGACACAGAAGCATCTTGTCTTGGGAAGGGTCTTCACGTACAGCCCTCATTTCTCCTTTGACTACAAAACCCAGCAGTAAGGAGGGGTCTTTCAGAGTCATTAAGGACAGGTCCCAAAGAAATATGGACTTAGTAAAAAATATAATCAGGTTTCTTGTAAAACAGAGAATGGCCAATGTTTAGAGGTTAAGAGTGCTACAGGTGCACACCACACGTGCCTATGTTTAAAATAACTAACCCCCATCCTACCTAACCACACACCCCAGTTATGCTGTTCCCTCACCTCTCCACATATATTTTGGAGAATATCACAATAGGATGGTTTGTGGACAGAATGAATTTCCTATTGTGAATGTGGACTACTCTTACTGAAGTTACAAAACAAGTTGACTGAAAATTTAAGGAATGCATGTTTTAATGAATATAGACTAACTCAAGTTTTCTTTACTTTTTGAGTCACTTTTATCAACTTACAGGTTTTTTTTCTAATTGCCTTTTCAAATTTCTTAGAACAAAGTCATTAGTAGTGTTTTCTTACGATTCTTGAACTCAATTTACCTATGGTGGAATTCCCTTTTTCCTCTCATTAATTGTGTACTTATGCCCTTTTTTGTCATTGTCGGTAAAAAGAGCTCTGTAAGTCTTTTCAAAGACCCAGAGATATTTCTGCTGTTTGTGTTCTTGATGCTTGCCCTCATTTCTTCATACCTATTTCAGTATTTTCTGCTCTTGTCTTCATTATTTTCTTCTTTTTAATGTCTTTTGCTTGCTTTGTTCGTCCTTTTATTCTTATTATGAAACGTTTCAGGCACACAAAAAGGAATAAAATAATATGACACAGGTTGAATATCCCTCATCTGAAATGTTTGGGACTAGAAGTGCTTTGGATTTCAGATATGTTTGGATTTATTCTGGAATATTTGCATGTACATAATGAAATATCTTGGGGACAGGACCCAAGTCGAAACATGAAATTACTTGTGTTTCCTTATA
Organism: Homo sapiens; assembly: GCF_000001405.40. Lineage (NCBI taxonomy): Eukaryota > Metazoa > Chordata > Mammalia > Primates > Hominidae > Homo > Homo sapiens. The sequence goes on along the minus strand of NT_187560.1, from coordinate 179,241 downwards.
CCTTATATAGAAGGCCTGAAGGTAATGTTATGTAATTTTTAATAATTTTGTGCACATAACAAAGTTTATGTGCCGTGAATCTGGAAGAAAAGAATGAAGAGCTTGCGGGGGAGGCCACCTCTGAAGGAATGGCCGAGAAACTTCCCAAGTGAAAAAGCTGTGAGGCTTCAGATTGGAGGAGGGCGCAAGGGCCCAGCAGGATGTGCCAAAGTTGTGCTCGGGCACATCAGGAGGAAATCAGGCCCCACAATGTCACCTCCAAGCACCTCCTGGGGTTGCCTGTCCTCTCTCCTCTTCCTGCTGAGCCCCTGGGTCCAAGGACCTCCCACCTTCAAAAAAGTAAAAACAGCACAGCCCAGACCCAGGGGTAAAATTCATGTCATCACTTCTTCCTGGGCCAGCACCCAAATACCTCCTGAGCCACAGGAACACGATGCCTCTGTGGCCCTGACAGCCACTGCCGATTGTCCTGGGAGGGGCCTTCAGGGAACCGCACAGGAAGGAGGGTGCAGCTCAGCCCGTTTTCAAATCCAGCAGGATGTTCATGACCTCCCTGCAGACACTAATGGACAGAACGTCACAGCAGTCTGGTGAGCGATGATGTCAGTGCATTATTAAATTCAAACTGGAGGGGAAGTTTTGACACTAATCAATGCTTTTTATCCCACCCAAGACTGGCATATTCCCGAGACAAATCTCAGTGGTTACTGAATAGCTTGCAGACCTGGGCTGCCCTGGGGAAACTGCCATGCAAGTCTGTCCTTCCCACCTTTCTGCAGATGCACGCAGGGCTCTCAGGAAGCAATTTTTTTTTTTTTTTGAGAGGGAGTCTCACTCTGTTGCCCAGGCTGGAGTGCAATGGCATGGTCTTGGCTCACTGCAACCTCTGCCTCCCAGGTTCAAGCAATTCTCCTGCCTCAGCCTCAGGAGTAGCTGGGACTACAGGTGCATGCCACCACACCCGGCTAATTTTTGTATTTTTAGTAGAGATGGGGTTTCACCATGTTGGCCAGGCTGGTCGTAAACTCCTGACCTCTTGATCCGCTGGCCTCAGCCTCCCAGAGTGCTGGGATTACATGTGTGAGCCACCACGCCTGACCAGGAAGCAATTTTTTTTAGCTCATTAACATGGCAAAGACAGATAGCCAGGGCCTTCTGAGAGCTGTAAATGAGCTTCTCACCTCTCTGACAGTTTTCAGCAGACATGGATTCCTCAGTCCTAGAGCTGCTGGCTGCATTCATCCTTCACTGCCACAGAGCTCCCTCACCTCCCTCAGGAAGTGGCAGAGCAGTTGGCGGTTCCCAGGCCCCCCAGGGAAGCCCTGGCAGGTGCTTGCTGGGGTTGGGTCTTTACCCCAGAACCCAGCAAAATGAGCACCTTGGTCTGGGAGGAGAACGTCCCTGAAAGGCCCTTGGACAGTATTAGCAGCTCAGGGGCAGGTTCTGGAAAGGCCTTTTCCGGTTAACACCACTGAATGGTTCATGGGGTCAGAGCAGGCAAAACGAGCACCATTTCCTCCCAAGAAACACATTTTTCCCACTGTCTGACAGTTGAAAATATTTGTTTACTTTGTAGAAACCTAGGATGTTTTGGCAGCAAGCAATTTATGTCACTTTGAACCACAGAGAATGCCTCTGAAATGATAATATGGGTCAATGAAGAAGCAAAGTTTCTTAACTGAAGTCCATTTCATAGAAACAAATGCGGAAATGATTGTAATTATGAGGGATGGGCCCACTGTGGCATTTCCCAATGGTGACAGTCAGGCTCTACCCCTAGCCCTTGGAGTCAAGGCCATAAAGCAAACGGCCAAAGGTCCCCTCGTATCGTCTGATCCGACGGCTAGGGTTGGAAGGTGGGCAGCCTCACGGGAGCATGGACCTAGGTAGTCGCCAGGGGCCTGTGTGCAGAAAAATTTCTCATTTGCTTTGACACGCTGCTGTTGCTGTCTTGAAATTCTCAAAGATTTTATCTCCCAACCTATATTTTGTGTGAGACATCCCATGAGGCGACGTGGTGCGCGCACCTGCAGAGAAGACACCCCAATCTGCACGCCCACAGCGCCTCGCCCGCCACCCAGTCCCGCAGCGCCTCGCCCGCCACCCAGTCCCGCAGCGCCTCGCCCCCCACGTGTCTGTCTGTGCTCATGTGGCCCTAAGAGGCCACTCCTCTGCTTACCCAGAGCTTGCTGCAAACCACAAAGTGCAACAGTGTTCTAAGAAACACAAACGACCAAGGGTCCCACCCTCTCTCCCACTCACATTGCTTTCCCACATAAGCCACCATTTATGCTGAACGTGGCCGTGTGGAGGGAGGGGAGGTGGGCAGCCCACAGTCCTTCTCATGTGTGAGCAAAGGTGGAGAATCTCGGTGGACAGGGGCTGTTTCATGAAGGGAAATAAACACAGCCGAGTGAGTTTCACACAGCATTTCCACCGCTGTAATGAGAATGAAATACATATGCATGTTTGAGCTGTGACAGATGAACTATGTAGTTGTTCAGATTCTGCATGTGAATTAAATGTTCTTTCATTTGCATTTGAAACCAGCAACGCACGATATACAGATGAATGGTAACCTTCATGTTAATAATTCAAAAATCTTAATGTTTTTAGAATGATGCTGAATAGCAAATAAAAATCCCATGACAAGTCAAGACGGAGATTGTGAAAGGAAACATCTTATACTATAACTAGTTCCTTTAGGGGCACTTTTCCTTGATTTCTGAACTAAGGACCTGTATTTGCACTTTGCACGGGCCGTGCAAATTAAACAGACAGCATTGCAGGGCATGAACACAGACGAACCACGACCAACTCAGCTGTCCCGAGGCTCTGTGTTAACGGCTCCTGACACACTCCCCTCCTCCCTGTTCTGATCTGTTTGCATTAATATGCGCTCAATTGTAAGAAGCTGAACAGATGTATTTATTCAGAATTCCCAAGCAGCTAACTAGAACTCCCAATTCTGAGTCATCGTCTTAGCTCCCGAGGTGCTTAGCAGAATGCTCTGTATTTATCAGCTTCCCGGTTAACCTACACACCACTCCCCAGCTCTTGCTGGTTTGAGTTATGTGAACCTTCAACATCATTAGGGAAGCTTCTACCACACTTAGTACTGATAAGCAAAGTGCATTCACACTTCCTGAGGATTTAATGAGTGGCACCATCTAAATTAATCTTAAGAACAATCCCATTTGCTGGGCGTGGTGGCCCATTCCTATAATCCCAGAACTTTGGGAGGCCAAGGCAGGTGCATTGCTTGAGCCCAGGAGTTTGAGACCAGCCTGGGCAACATGGCAAAACCCCATCTCTGCCAAAAAATACGAAAATTAGCTGGGCATGGTGGTTTGCACCTGTAGTTTCAACTACTTGGGAGGCTGAGGTGGGAGGATCACTTGAGTCCAGGAGGCAGAGGTTGCAGTAAGCCGAGATTGTGCCGCTGTATTCCAGCCTGGGCAATAGAGTAAGAGCCTGTCTCAAAAAAAGCAATCCCCTGTCCCATGAGATGGTATGACCTCCTCCAATCTAGGAAGCTATTGATTGCAAGACAGACCATTACTCTAGTACTGCTAAGGAAAAACAAACCCGCTGGCAGTTAAACTATGATGTGCTATTTATAAAAGATGCCTCCTAATTTCAGTGATGGGAAAACAATACACACCTGAGAAATGATGACATTCAGGGTGGTGGGTACTGTGACAGCCACACTGCTGCTTCCTGGGGACTCTGCATCCTCTCCCCAGACACCAGCTGTTGAGGGCTAGGGGTTAGCCGCTGAATCCCTCCCCATCACCACCTGAGCCCAAGGGAACAGCCACTCCCTAAGTTACAGTCTCTTGCTCCCTGGAGGTGAACCACCATCAGTGATCCCTCATGTGGGACACAAAGGCCTAGCCCCCAGCCTTGGTTGGGTCAACCCTGAAGGGGAACCCCAGCTCTGGCTGCAGAGCACCTCACAGGATCAGCTCGGTCCTCTTAAACTGCATTCCAGCTCACCTTCTCCCTCTGCCCAATTCAGCTTCCCTCACCTGTACGGGGGTTACCCCAGATCACCCCCAGTCACCGACTGCATGCAAATCTCTGTCTCAGAGTTTGGTCCCAGCACATTCAACCTAGGGCATGTAGGACCACCCTCGTTTCACGATAAACAACCAAAACAGGGCAGTTACGTGATGTGCGCAAGATGGCACGACTCACACGTGCCGCAGCTGGAACTTAAACTCCATCCGGACTCCAAGGCCACCCTGTTGTCTCTCCACAATCAATGCTCAGAGCACAGCCTGCAACTGTAAGAGGCCCCTAAGCTCTTTCAAGTGGTCCATGAGGCCAAAACTATTTTCATAAAATACTAAGACATACTTTGCCTTTCTCACGTGTACTCTTTTATGAGAGAACTTGGAACAGTCCAGAGGCTATGTGGCAGGAAATGACACAGAATGAGTGGGAGGCAGAGATGAGAATCCAAGTGTTTTCTGTTAAATGAAACAATGAGATATGCAAAAGCGTGAAACAAGAATGTAAAAATGTAAAACAAAAATGTCACACTTAGCACTTTTTTATGTTTTGGAAAATATAGCTACTGTGTTTATAATGAAATAATTTTATGATTTATTTTAAAGTGAATTAATAAACAGCTTTTCTAAAGTGTTGGCAATTTTAATTTCTAAGGTAACAAATGTGGATAGCACTAACCCACCAAAAAAAAAAAAAAAAATTCTTTGGAATCTTCAGTAATTTTCAATAATAGGATGTGATCCTGAGAACAACATTTTAAAAATCACGGCTCTGCACTCTGCTGCTGGGAGTTTGGAATTCCGCTCTCCATTCCACACCAGCCGAAGGACCCCAGGAACACCCTGTAATCCCTCTGTGATTCCGTCTCTTTAATCTGCTAAATAAAGAGATGTAACTTCCCTACAGCAAAAGGAAAGCACCAGTAGAATTCTGTAAGTTAAAACTACTTTTAAAATTTTACTGCTCTATACTATATCCAGTATTCCCTTCTCCATTATTCTATGAAAATTTTAACAAAATGCATTATACTAATTTACCATACAGGATTAAAATGTCATTAAGCTTGCAATGTGTAAACCTTAAAACAGCTGGATAAAAATTTAAGACAGGAATAAGAAGAAAGCCATTCATATTGTTGGTATATAAAACAAGCTTCAGAGAGTGTTAGTCCCATTTTATTCATGGAAGAAAATAAATATGAAGACACTGAAATCACCTGGAGAATTTTTAGGAGATGCTGATGGCAGGGCTCATATGAGACAAATCAATTCAGAATCTTTGAAGGGTAAGCCCCAGACACCATGGTTTCCGAGGCTCCCAAATTATTTTAATATAACGTCAGGGCTGACAACTACTGCTCCTGTTGATGAAGAGGGTCAAACTCTGAAAACTATTTGAAGAAATGTATTCTGAGCCACATGTGGGTGACCAATGGCCCAGGCCACAGCCCCAGGAGAGCCTAAGATCATGTGCCCAAGGTGGATGGGCTTCAGCTTGGATTTCTACACACTAGGGAGGCATAAGACATCCAACAATACACTAAGATGTGCACAGGCTTGGATTTCTACATGCTAGGGAGGCATAAGACACCCATCAATACACATAAGATGTACACAGGCTTGGATTTCTACATGCTAGGGAGGCATAAGACATCCATCAATACACATAAGATGTACACAGGCTTGGATTTCTACATGCTAGGGAGGCATAAGACATCCATCAATACACATAAGACGTACACAGGCTTGGATTTCTACATGCTAGGGAGGCATAAAACACCCGTCAATACACTAAGATGTACACAGGCTTGGATTTCTACATGCTAGGGAGGCATCAGACACCCGTCAATATGCTAAGATGTACACAGGCTTGGATTTCTACATTCTAGGGAGGCATAAGACATCCGTCAATATGCTAAGACGTACACAGGCTTGGATTTCTACATGCTAGGGAGGCATAAGACACCCGTCAATACACTAAGATGTACACAGGCTTGGATTTCTACATTCTAGGGAGGCATAAGACACCCGTCAATAGGCTAAGACGTACACAGGCTTGGATTTCTACATGCTAGAGAGGCATAAGACACCCATCAATACCCTAAGATGTACACAGGCTTGGTCCAGAAAGATGGGAAAACACTAAGCAGGGTCTTCCAGGGCATAGGTGAATTCAAAGATTTCTGAATGGCAATTGGTTGAGTTTATCTAAGGACTGGGAATCGGTAGAAAGAGTGTCTGGGTTAAGATAAGGGACTGTGGAGACCAAGGTTTTTATTATGCAGATGAAGCCTCCAGGTTGCAGGCTTCAGAGAGAATAGATGGTCAATGTTTATCAGACTTGAAAAGGTGCCAGACTCTTAATTAATTCCCTCTTGGATCAGGGAAAAGACCTGGAAAGGAAAAGGGATTCTCTACAGAATGTAGACATTTCCCAGGAGAGACAGCTTTGCAAGCCATTTAAATATATCGCAGAAATATATTTTGGGGTAAAATACTTCCATTTCTTTCAGGGCCTGCAATCTGCCATGTTGGTACCTTATAGCTGCAAAAGGTCTGCTTTGTCTGTCTTCACGCCTCTGTTCCAATGTTAACGCTGGTCAGCTGTGCCTGGACACCAAGGGAGGAGGGTAGGATAAGGTGTGTCCAAACACCCCTTCCCATCATGGCCTGAACTAGTGTTTCAGGTTTACTTTAGAGTGCCCTTGGCCAAGAGGAAGGGTCCATTCAGCTGGCTGGGGGACTTAGAATTTTATTTTTGGTTTATACTCTAAAGCCAAGAGTGGCTTCTTTCCTTCAGTGCAGAGGAATCCAACGGATATTTTTAACAAGGAAAGGACAACAGAAAAAATAGGGATTCATTTTTATATTAGACAAAACATAGAGCTAAAGATAGAGGGAGAGAGGGAGGGAGGGAGACAGTGGTGGAGGGAGGTGGAGAGAGAAAGAGAAAAAAAGATGGATGTGGCCATGGCAGCATTGTTTTTGGGTATTCCCCAATTCCCACATAAAACAGACGGAGCAACTAGACAAGGAAATCAACAAACCAAGATCACACTTAAATCAAACTGAAGTGAAGCTGTCCCCAGCTAGTGATCCCCAAGGCAATGTCCAGATGAACGTTGAGGAGAGGACCAGAGAAAAGCAGCCTTAGGAAGTAGCTGTAGACATCAGTGAAAATGGCAAAGAACCTTAAACATTCCCTCCTTCATAAAAGCAATGAGAAAACCACCCAAAAATATCAGAATCAACTTTTACAGAACTCTGGAAATTAACTAAAGGCTAGCAGAAATCAGAGCAATTTACTCAAAAAAAAAAAAAAAGAAAGAAAGAAAAAGAAAGAAATGGCTGAATCTCAGCAAGAACAGCGAACTTCCTGGCATCTTAACTCACCCTATTTCCAGCTCCCTCTCCTCAGCTCTGCCACAGGCTTGAAAATGAGCAGCCCACAATGGCAGTAAAAACCAACAGCCTGGAAGCCACCAGAAAGCACAGGGTGGGGTTAGAGTGCCTTCAAAGCCCCATTCCCAGAGAATTGTCACTACTTGACCTGTCTGGTTGTTCCCTGGAGGACCCACTGGAAAGGCTGTCTTTATTTCATCCAACTCAAAGCTCACATATGTGAAAAGTCTTTCCCTGGGGGCATTTGTTGAAAACATTTAGAGACAATGTTTTACTTACCAGCCACCTGAGGTAGAGGATAATGGTTGGGACAAACAATAGGCTAACCAGAAAGCTTGAAGGAAAAGCTGGAAAATGAGATGTGCACAGGTGCTTTGCAAAGCTCTGACACGATCCTTGGAATATGGATGGCCACAACACATGGAGGGCTGTGTGCCTGCCCAGGCTGTGCACACTCAGGGAAGACATGAGGCTCTAAGCTCTCACCACTGGCTGATGTAGAGGCTCTGGGCCAGCATGAAGTGAAGGCTACAACAGAGCTGTGAACTGCCTGTCTGATGGCTGAAGGTATGCCCCACACTCACACAGAACCCTCAGCAGAGACTGAGGCTTGTTTCTAGGCATTTAAGGCAATCTGTCTGGTCATCATCTGACCACTAACCAAACTGAGCAGAGACTTGGTGGCCACACATGATGAAAAAACACAAACTTTACAGAATTAGTTCAGAATAGTCACTAAGCAAGCAACCAACAATAAACAGCAACAACAACAACAACAACACCTAAGGAGAGGGAAATTCTGGTTTTCAAAGTTGCCACACTATGTTATTTAAAATATTGAGTTTTACTAAAAATTTTTGAGGCATTCAAAGAAACATGCAAATGTGCCTCTTCCACAGGAAAACAATAGAAGCTGTTCTTGGGGAAGCCAAATGGCTTACAAGACAAAGACTTTAAATGAGCTGTTTTTTGTTTTTTTGTTTTTTGTTTTTTTTTTTTTAGACAGAGTCTTGCTCTGTCATCCAGGCTGGAGTGCAGTGGTGTGATCCCAGCCTACTGCAACTTCTGCCTCCCAAGTTCAATTGATTCCCCTGCCTCAGCCTCCCAAGTAACTGGGATTACAGGCATGCACCACCATGCCCAGCTAATTTTTGTATTTTTAGTAGAGACGGGGTTTCACCATGTTGGGCAGACTAGTCTTGAACTCCTGACCTCAAGTGATCCACCCGCCTCGGCCTCCCAAAGTGCTGGGATTATAGGCATGAGCCACTGTGCCCAGACTAAATGAGCTATTTTTAATGTGCTCCAAAAACTGTAAGAACAATGTCTAAAGAGCTAAATAAAAGTAGGAAAATAGTGTCTCATCAAATAGAGAATATGAATAAAAAGATAGAAATTATATTTCAAAAATAATTGAAAAATTCAGTACAGCAGCTCAACAGCAGATCTTAGCAGCAGAAGAAAGAATCAGCAAACTTCAGGATAGGTCAACTGAAATTATCCAGTCTGAGGAACAGAAAAAAAAAGAATAATAAAAAATTAGAAACCTGTGAGAGACCATCCAATGTACTGAGATACACGTAAAGGAAGTCCCAGATGTAGGAGAGGAAGAATGAGGTAGAAAGAATATTTGAAGAAATAATGACCCAAAATTCCCAAAACTAGATGGAAAACATGAATCTACATATCTAAGACACTCAATGAACTCCAAGTAGAATAAACTCTAAGACAGCCACACCTAGATACATCAAAATCAGACCTTCAAAACCCAAAGACAAAGTAAATCTAATGAAAGCAGTAAGAGAGAAGCAACTTGTCACACATGTTATGGACTAGATATTTGTCCCCTCCAAAACTCATGTTGAAGTTTAATCCCTAATTTGGGAGTATCAGGAGGGAGGAGGAAACTGGGTCATGAGGGCTCTGCCCTCATGAATGGATTAATCCACTCATGAATTAATGAATTAATTCATGTGGGTTATCACAAGAGGGGACCTGGTGACTTTCTAAGAAGAGGAAGGGAGACCTGAGCTAGCACACTAGCATGCTCAGCCTCCTCATCATGTGATACCCTGTGCCACCTCAGGACTCTGCAGAGAGTCCCCAACAGCAAGAAGACCCTTACCTGATTCTGCCCCTCAACCTTGAACTTCTCAGCCCAGATACCTGTAATAAATAAATTCCTTTTCTTTATAAATTACCCAGTTTCAGATATTCTGTGATAAGCAACAGAAAATAGGCAATGATCCTCAATAATATTAACAACTAATTTCTCATCTGAGACTATGAAGGCCAAGAGGCAGTGGAATGATATATTCAAAGTCCTAAAAGAAAAAAGTCTATCAACCAAGAATTCTATATTCAGAAAATCGATCCTTCAAAACTAAAGGAGAAATCAATACATTCCCAAACAAAAAACAAAGAGAATTTTTTCCAACAACCCTTCCCTAGCAAGTTCTAAATGGAGTACTTTAGGCAAAAATGAAAGGACATTAGACAGTGAGTTGTATCCAGATGAAGAAATAAACAGCACCAGTAAAGGTCATTATTTAGTAAATATGAAAGACAGAACAAATATTTGAGTATGTAACATTTATTTTCTCCTAATTTTCTTTAAAAAACCTACATAAAGCAATAATTATAAATCCATGTTGATAAACATACAATCTATAAAGATATAATTTTCATGACAATAACAGCACAAAGGAGGGAAAGAGAAAAAATGACAGAGAGTGTTTGAAAATTAAGTTGGTATTAATTCAACTAGATTATTATAAAGATCTTAATGTTAATTTGAATTAATAAATTAATATTAACTTGGTGTTAATAAAATTAAATAATATTAATCTTCTAGCAAACACTAAGAAAGCAACTCAAAAAATAATCAGGAATGAAAAGACATTATTACTGATCTTACAGACATAAAAATTACAAGGACTATACAGAAATACTATAAGTAATCATATGCCAACAAACTAGATAACCTAGGTGAAATTGACAAATTCCTATGAAGACATGAACTACTGAAACTGACTCAAGAAGAAATAGAAAATTTGAATATGCCTATAATAATTAAGGAAATTCAATGAGTAATTTAAAACCTCATAAAGAAAAGCCCATGGTCAGATGGCTTCCATTTGCAATAGCTTCACTTCAAATGTTTAAGGAAGAATTAACATCATTCTTTCACAGTCTTCCAAAAAAAATAAAGAAAGAATACTCTTCAATTAACTTGATGTGATGGTTAATATTGAGTGTCAACCTGATTGGATTGAAGGATGCAAAGTATTGATCCTGGGTGTGTCTGTGAGGGCATTTCCAAAGGAGATTCACATTTGAGTCAGTGGACTGGGAGAGGCAGACCCACCCTCAGTCTGGGTGGGCACCATCTAATCAGCTTCCAGCATGTGGGTGGGCACCATCTAATCAGCTTCCAGCATGGCCAGAATAAAAGCAGGCAGAAGAACACAAAAGTAGTTTAGTCTTCCAGCCTACACGCTACTCCCCTGCGGGATGCTTCCTGCCTTCGAACCTCGGACCTCAAGTTATTCAGCTTTAGGACTCAGACTGGCTTCCTTGCTCCTCAGGGCCTATTATGGGACCTCACCCTGTGATTGTGAGTCAATACTCCTTAAAATACTCCCCTTTATATACACATCTATCCTATTAGTTCTGTCCTTCTAGAGAACCCTGACTAATGCATTTGACAAGTTATGTATTACTATAATACCAAAACCAAAGATATCAAAAGATTAAGAGATATCCTTTATAAATACGGACATAAAAATTCTCAACGAAACACTAAGATACTAAATCCAGAAACATATAAAAAGAATTATACAGCATGGTCAAGTAAGACTTATCCCAGGAATATAAGATTAGTTCAAATATAAAAACTAACCAATGAGATACACTATGGTCATAGAATACACATGCTATGATACAGACTGAATGTTGACATCCTCCCCAAACGTAAGTGCTGGAATTCTGATCCCCAGTGTGACAGCATTAGGAGGTGAAGGCTTTGGGGGTAATTAGGTCATGAAGACGGCGCCCATGCAGGTGGGATTAGTGTCCATACGAAAGAGATCCCAGAGCGCTCCCTTGCCCCGTCTGCCACATGAGGACACGGGGGGAAGATGCCACCCATGAACCAGGAAGCCACCCACCACCAGACACCAAATATGGGGGAGCCTCCAGAGCTCTGAGAAATCAATGTTTGCTGTTTCAGCCACCCACGCCATGTGATTTTTGTGACAGCAACTCAAACAAGAGAAAAATTGGCACCGGGAAGTAGCGGCACGGCTGTGACAAATTCCTAAAAATGCAGAAGCAACTTTGGGTCTGGGAAACTTGTTGAGGCTGAGTCTTGAGGTGTGTGCTGGAACAAGCCTCCTTCGCCATGGATGAATTTTTAAAAGTGCTTGTGTTGAGAGATCAAAAGGAAGACAAAGCAGTATCTCTTAGAGAACAGCTCGGCCATCATGAATGGAATGCTGGGAGGATGCAGACAGAGCATTCTGTGAGGCCTGGGAAAGGAGGAACACGCTATCGGACGGTGGAGAAGAGGCTGTGCTCCTCGCAGAGTGGTGAGGACCATGGCCGAATGCGTTCATGCTCTGGGCTCCTGTGGAAGGTAGAGCTTGTGAATGAGGAATTGGAAACAGTGCACCTCAGTGGCAGAGGGCCTCACAAATGGCCGGCCGGAGATGGGGGCTGGGTGGAAGGAGCCGCTGGGCCTGCTCGGGAGGTTCCTCCATTGCCCTGCGCAGCCTGAGCCAGACAGAGCGCAAATCCCACGGAGGGCGAGCCCTGAGCCGGACAGAGCGCAAGTCCCACGGAGGGCGAGCCCTGAGCCGGACAGAGCGCAAGTCCCACGGAGGGCGAGCCCTGAGCCGGACAGAGCGCAAGTCCCACGGAGGGCGAGCCCTGAGCCGGACAGAGCGCAAGTCCCACGGAGGGCGAGCCCTGAGCCGGACAGAGCGCAAGTCCCACGGAGGGCGAGCCCTGAGCCGGACAGAGCGCGAGTCACACGGAGGGTGAGCACCACGCGTGACTCCAACACACCCACCTGTGCTCACCAGACGTGAGCCAGACGTTCTCCCTCCCCAACCCCACACCACACATCTGCCTGGAGGTCGGGTAGGGGGTGGATCTCAGCTCCTCTCAGCAAGAAGGAAAGCCTCCAAGCTCCAAGGGCCCAGGATGGGAGGTAAAACAAGACAGGCGAGCACAGGGAGGGCGCAAAGAGAGTGGGCAAGCAGGAGGCAGAACCCGGCTCCCCTGACCTGTGCCAGCAAGCACGTCCCCAGCAGCAGCTCCCCGGATGCCATCCCAGCCAGGACCCGTGCGGCCAGCCTTGGATTTCTGTGTTCCAGTCCACATTATTTAGGGATTTATTTTCCTTCTCTTTTAAGGAATGATAACACTGTTTTATGTACATACTTGGTTTTTTTGCTTTTTGCTTCTGACATGCAGCTCAATAAGTCAGAAGATTCTTACCAGGAAATGAATCCACAGTCGTTTTCATGACAGCAAATTGCATGCCAACGAGTGACATTTAAATGCTGAATTTTAATGGCTTGTCAGAAAAAGTGAAATGTATTTAAAAAAAAATCATACATGAGAGAGCAGTGTGTCTGCCCATGAAATAATGCTGCCTGTAGTAGACAAGAATGGTAAAAACACAGTGAACGTATTTTGTTCTGTGATGTACACATCTACCTGGAGGAAGAAGGTTGTGAAATTAACTCCCATTTACCCTCCTCTTCGTGCAGAAGACTCTGAAGGCCGCGCAAGCAGCTGTCTGTCAATGAATCTGACAACTGCACCTGCAAGAAGTGGCCTGGATGAAGACGACAGGCAGAAGCACAGGATCAACTCTGTTTCAAGCGCAGTTACCAAGACAGAATCATTTCTGGAATCCTGAAAAACCTGCATATGAACATGCTCACGTGTAGACACCCACACACATGCACACACACCTGCACACACACTCACATGCTCATGTGTAGACACCCACACACCTGCACGTGTAGACACCCACACACGCACACACCTGCACACACATGTGCTCACGTGTAGACACCCACATACCTGTACATGCACTCACGTGCTCACATGTAGACACCCACACACATGCACACACACCTGCACATTCACATGCTCACGTGTAGAGACACACACATGCACACACGTGCTCACATGTAGACACATGTGCACTCATTCACATGCTCACATGTAGACGCCCACACAAGGCAAACACACGTGCTCACGTGTAGACAGCCACACATGCACACACACCTGCACATGCACTCACATGCTCATGTGTAGACACTCACATGCACACACACCAACACACACGTGCTCACAGACACCCACACACATGCACACACACCTGCACACGCACTCACGTGCTCACATGTAGACACACGCACACATGCACACACATGTGCTCACACATAGACACCCACACACATCTGCACATGCACTCACGTGCTCAGGTGTAGACACACACACATGCACACATGCACACATACCTGTACATGCACTCACATGCTCACATGTAGACATACACATGCACACACCCCTGCACACTCATTCACATGCTCACGTGGACACCCACACATGCACACACACGTGCTCACGTGTAGACACCCACACACACGCACAGACACCTGCACACACATGTGCTCCAGTGTAGACACCCACACGCAAAACCTCCCTACTCAAACACTCCCCCCATGTGAGGCTGACAAAACTCAGGAAGACACCAGGATTTGAGATTCTTTCCTTCAAGTGTGCATGCATGTGTGTCTGCCTGCACACATGCATGCACACCTGCACACTCATTCACGTGCTCACATATAGATACCCACACACACACCTGCACACTCATTCACGTGCTCATGTGTAGATACCCGCACACACACCTGCACACTCATTCACGTGCTCACGTGTAGATATCCCCTACACGTGAGCATGGGTGTGTGTGCATGTGTGTGGATGTCTACACATGAGCATGTGTGTGTGCAGGTGTGCATGCATGTGTGGGGATGTCTACATGTCAGCATGTCAATGAGTGTGCAGGGGTGTGTGCGTGTGTGCATGTCTACATGTGAGCATGTGTGTGTGCAGGTGAGTGTGCAGGTGTGTGCGTGTGTGGGTATATACACATGAGCACGTGAATGTGTGTGCAGGTTTGTCTGCGTGTGGGTATCTACATGTGAGCATGTGTATGAGTGTGCAAGTGTGTGTGCAAATGTGTCTGTGTCTACACGTGAGCATGTGAATGCATGTGCAGGTACGTGTGCCTTCGCAGCATGCCCACCTTCCAGAAGCCTGCATCCTGGACTAGACACACCAATGGCCCTGGCAACCAAAGAGGCCTCCTGCCACAGGGTCGTCCTCCTGCCACGGGGTCATCCCCAGGGTTTGCTGGAAATGCCCACCCCAGGACACACCCCACAGCTGTGTCAGAACCAGCTGGGAAGGTGTCAGCAATTCTGTGTCCCCACAATGCAGAAGATGACTTTTCACTGTCTAGAGAGTCCAACAGCCCAGGACACACAGTCCCTGGGGATGGAGCTGGGCAGAGGGCTCCAGCTGCCCAGGCCATGGGCAGTTCTGATACACCTGGGCAGACGCTCAGCCAGGGCCTGAGCAAGACTGGAGATGCAGGGCTGCCTGGGACCTCTGTCTCTATGCAAGGATACCTACGACCCCCCATCTCCACATGGGGCTGCCTGGGACCCCCCTATCCCCATGTGGGGCTGCCTGGGACTCCATCTCCATAAAGATGCTCTTATCCTCAAGAACAGGTGCCAGGAATGTGGACATAGCCTGACACTCGGCACAATATTAATTTTCTCTGAGATGGTTTTCCTTAGGAGTTACCTTTTGCCATTATTTGGTTAGATTATTGTCATGTAATTTAAATTCATGGATATATGAGACAAACTAGAAAAAGCTATTGCTTTAAAATCATAGGTGAGAAAACTCATCTCTGTTGGGGAATTCGGGGCCACTAGATATTTTTCTATCCCTCCTTTTGAAACTCACCTTAAATTTCTTGGTTTTTTTCTAGTTTGTCAGGCTGAGAGTCTTGTGCATTCTCTGGTTTCATTTCATCCCAGGACGCCCACCCAGGCAGGGCCCCGGAGCCCTTGTGGCACTAGCTCCCATGACAAGGGAGCTCAGGTGAACTCCGGCACGCTGCCCCCACCACATCTCAGCACAGGATAGCACAGAAACGTGATGATGTTCAGTGCCAGTTGCCAACACATGGTGATAGCTACATACATACCTAGAGCCGGGCTGAAATTACGCTCAGGGGAAGTTCTGAAAGAGTCACGCCCATTCTCATTGAAAGACCCCTGGCCTCCACTCGCACGTCCAGCCATCAGAGTGGCAAAAGCTCATCTGTTTGCTCCTTAAATGAGGCTTTTCCCTCTTCTCAAGATAATAAAGTGAAGGGTGAAACACAGAGTAAGGCTCACAAGACAAGCAAACTCAGAAAATGTGACACAGTTGAATATTTACACAACCTTCCTTCAATATGGCTCGCTCCATGTTTGTCCCTGCGTGGGCAGCATTCCGTCTGTGTCATCTACATTGATACCCATATCTACGTGCCCTGCCAAGCCTGGCACTGGCCTGCGCACAGCACCCCATCGCCAAACGACAGTGGCACATATGGAGCAGGAGCTGGGCCCAAGCCGCCCTGGAGGCTCCCGTGGGGAAAGGGCTCAGGAGTCCAGTGTGGCCTGGAGTGTGCATCAGGGAGCTGCCCGGCGCCCTGGCCCACACCGCCACACGCGTTTCTCCCTCTCAACCCGCAGTTTGGCTTTGTGGAGGGTTCCCCATGGACTTTGGGCTCAGGTGACTTGGGCTTTGTTTGTGGGTGGTTCTGTGTAATGCACAGGCACCACCCAAAAGCAGACACGTGTAGCACTACACACCACCCATGCTGGGACCCCCTGAAGGACAGAGGTGAACCCGGAACCCCTGTAGGACAGAGGTGAACCCGGGACCCCCTTAAGGACAGAGGTGAACCCGGGACGCCCTCAAGGACAGAGGTGAACCCGGGACCCCCTAAAGGACAGAGGTGAACCCGGGACCCCCTGAAGGACAGAGGTGAACCCGGGACCCCCTGAAGGACAGAGGTGAACCCGGGACGCCCTCAAGGACAGAGGTGAACCCGGGACCCCCTAAAGGACAGAGGTGAACCCGGGACCCCCTGAAGGACAGAGGTGAACCCGGGACCCCCTGAAGGACAGAGGTGAACCCGGGACGCCCTCAAGGACAGAGGTGAACCCAGGACCCCCTGAAGGACAGAGGTGAACCCAGGACGCCCTCAAGGACAGAGGTGAACCCAGGACCCCCTGAAGGACAGAGGTGAACCCGGGACGCCCTGAAGGACAGAGGTGAACCCGGGACACCCTCAAGGACAGAGGTGAACCCGGGACCCCCTGAAGGACAGAGGTGAACCCAGGACGCCCTCAAGGACAGAGGTGAACCCAGGACCCCCTAAAGGACAGAGGTGAACCCGGGACCCCCTGAAGGACAGAGGTGAACCCGGGACGCCCTCAAGGACAGAGGTGAACCCGGGATGCCCTCAAGGACAGAGGTGAACCCGGGACCCCCTAAAGGACAGAGGTGAACCCGGGACCCCCTGAAGGACAGAGGTGAACCCGGGACCCCCTGAAGGACAGAGGTGAACCCGGGACGCCCTCAAGGACAGAGGTGAACCCGGGACCCCCTAAAAGACAGAGGTGAACCCGGGACCCCCTGAAGGACAGAGGTGAACCCGGGACCCCCTGAAGGACAGAGGTGAACCCGGGACGCCCTCAAGGACAGAGGTGAACCCGGGACCCCCTAAAGGACAGAGGTGAACCCGGGACCCCCTGAAGGACAGAGGTGAACCCGGGACCCCCTGAAGGACAGAGGTGAACCCGGGACGCCCTCAAGGACAGAGGTGAACCCGGGACCCCCTGAAGGACAGAGGTGAACCCGGGACGCCCTCAAGGACAGAGGTGAACCCGGGACCCCTTGAAGGACAGAGGTGAACCCAGGACGCCCTCAAGGACAGAGGTGAACCCAGGACCCCATGAAGGACAGAGGTGAACCCGGGACCCCCTGAAGGATAGAGGTGAACCCGGGACGCCCTCAAGGACAGAGGTGAACCCGGGACCCCTGAAGGACAGAGGTGAACCCGGGACCCCTGAAGGACAGAGGTGATTGGAAACCCTCCTGTGAGCAGAATCTCCAGCAGTGCACCTGGCTGGTGATTCCGCCTGGAAGGAGAAACGGCCAGATGTGTGATTACTTATGAATTAATGGGCTGTGGCCAGTGGTTTGGCTGGAGGGCCAGGGACTCGGAGAGAATATGGTTGGAAACATTGTTGACAAGGGCAACTGGGGAAGAGACATATTAGATAGACGTCTATGAAGTGGTATGAAGTACTAAGATATGAATGTCCCGTGTGAATGTTCTCCAAAGAGTGACCTCAGCAGAGGAGGATTTTAATAACCAAGTGGATAGGGTGACCTGTTCTGTGGACACCAGTCAGCCTCTTTCCCCAGCCACCCTGCCGTTGCCCCATGGGCCCATGAACAAGGTGGTCGCGGTGGCAGAGTTGGAGGTGATGCCTGGGCTCCCACTCAACAAGGCCAGCCCTGCTGTGGCCACCCTTGAGTCCCCAGTCAGCCACCACAAAGACCATCCCTGAGTCCCCAACATGACATCATTCCCCGAGGTGATCAGCCAGCCGCCGGGGGGCAGGTGGTTCCGCAGGCAGCTTCCCCTGTGGAAGGGGTGGGGAATGGTCCTTGCTGGACTAGACGCTTACTCCAGATGTGGATTTCCCTTCCCTACGCACAGTGCTCCTGCCAGAACTACCCTCCGTGGAGTCAGAACGCCTTATCCATCACCATGGTGTCCACACAGCACTGCTTCTGACCAAGAGCCCTCACTTCACAGTCAAAGAAGGGCAGCAGTGGGCCGGTGCTGTGGGAATTCCCTGGTCCTACCATGTTGCCATATATAATTTTTAAATTATCATAATTTTAAAAATTATCTTCTCATCACCCCTGCAGGGACCACCTGCAACAAAAATTTCACAACAGTGACAGGCAGAGGCTGATTCTCTCCAGGCCGAGCCACGCCTGCACCGGACCCAGCCAGGCCCAGATAAGCAGCCGACGCCTGCCTACTTTGTGCCAGGCCCAGCTGCGGGCCACTGCAGCCTCCTGTCATCTCCTCCCTCAGACACAGGAGGCAGCAGGCCTGGGCTCCTCCAAACCCAGGAACGGACGATCCCAGTAGGAAGCACCCATGAGCCCAGCGCCCGGCTCCCACCTGCCCCTTCCACCACCACACTCGTGGATTCAGTCCGTCCCAGCTCCTCACCGCCCAGGAGGAGAAGCCAAGCCCGTGCGGTCGCTCAGTGCGGCAGCCGCCGAGCCTCGGCCCACGCCCGCCCTACCTGTGCCGGAAAGCTTCTGCAACGCCACGCGCAGGCGCTGCAGGGCCACGGGCGACACCTCGTAGCGGTAAAAGTCCATTGCCGGAACCTTCTGGCACCTTCCAAACACTCCATCTGTGAGAAGGGAAGGAGATAAGACAGAACGAGACGTTTCATTTTCAGAGAGCAGGAAGGTGTCACACACGTCCTTGCAATGCGTTCTGATCATGTGCCGCCGTGAGGTTTTGGAGCACGGCGTCACCAGAGGGCTGTTAGGACCCGGGAGCACCCGGAGGATGCTGGTTTGTGAGATAAAAACCGAGCATCACGGAAAACACAAATGCCAAGGTGGAGAGAAAGTCCAGTGTGGCTGCAATGTTGTCACTCCACTTTCCTCCATACCCCCCGAGCCCTCCTTTTATGTAATTTCACATTTTTTATGTAAAACTTGCCTCTGACAACTCAGTGACAACAAAAAAACAAAGTCAATAACATTCCAGGCCAGTTTTCCAGATGAAAAACAGAACACCCAGGAAATATAAATATTACTTTGCAGGAGCTACAAGGATCGGCGGAGACGCCTCTCCCTGGGCTGCGTGGGAGGCAAGCACGGCTTCCCGGGCTCCTTTCCGGCGGCGCAGGAGAGGCGCGGGGCTGGCGAACGGTGTGGGACTAATGGGGACTAATTTATTTAGCTCGATTCCATTTGTCTGAAATGGCAGACTCTGCTCATCAACATCCTTTCCAACCACACCTTCTAATTAATTTAGTCCCCAATTAGTCTTTATTCGGCGAATTGTTCACTTTGAGACAAGCTTCCTGTGGGGTTTCAAACATTCAAATTACCTTCTTTGGTGCACACAAAAGGTTAATTCAGGCGCTACTGCTTCCACACAGGGCGGCCATCTGCAGCTTCGGGCGGGGCGGAAGGGGAAATGGTCTCTTTTATTGTTCACTAGGTTTCGCCGTGCAGCTTGGCTGAAGAAAGCCATTCAAATGCAACAAGTGTAATTAGCAGAAACACATTTGCCCAGGGCCAGGCTGACGGTAATTGCTGGTCTGATATTGCATATATGCTCACGACGACGGGGCCGGGTGATTAGCAGAAAATAACCTCGAGTATTGCAAGCGTCCTGCGGGTTTCTATGGGACTTTGCAAAGCCCAGGGAATCCGGGAGGCAGCCTGGCAGCTGCGCGGGCGGGCGGACAATGGCAAGGAGGAGACGCCAGGCCCGCGCCGTTTCCCTCCGTGCAGCCCGGCCGCGCCGCCTCCTGTCCGAGAGCCGGCCCGAGATGCCTGCGAGGCCACACAAAGGCGGAGGGCTCTCGGGGACGCGTCTGCAGAGCCCGGCGCCCCCCACCGTCCGTGATGGACAGGCCGCACCACAGGCGGGAACACAGGCAGATGTGCCCGCTCCTTTGCCTTCCTCAGACACGCACCATTCAGTGCAAGCAGGAGTGGGAAAGGGGGGAGGAGGGAGAAAGGGGCAAAGAGGGAAAATAAGGAGCGACTTCAAACATACCCAGTGTTCCTACTCTGCTTTTCGAATGAAAATATCTTGAAAATAGAAAGGCAACAAGCAGGAACTGGGCAGCACGTCGAGACGGCCCAGCTCCCGTGCTCACAATGCAGAACAATCCTAGGCCTCAGGACCAAGGCCTGGGGCCCCAGAGGAGGGAGTGAGCCACGGGCCAGGAAGAACCAAAAGCCAGGTTCCTGGACCCCCAAGCGGGGCCCAAGTCAGTGACCACCTAATCCTAGGCCAGGGCCGGCGGCCTCTTCCGATCCCTGAGGCCAGGGAGGCTCAGAAGCCCAGGGCTCCACTCAGCCGCGGAGCCCGCGAGCTGCACTCCCCACCCTCAGAAGGAAGGCGCTCTCGGCCGGCCCCAGAGCAGTGATGGTGCCGGCTGCCTGCAGCTCCCCGGCCTCTTGCGCACATTGGAAAATGCACCCCCGGGGTGGACGTGCGTGGCCAGCTCAGGGCATGGCAGAGCCTGGCTGGTCCGGGCCCCACTCGGCCACTCCGGGTGTCTGCACACGGGGCTTGGTGATTTGGTGCCAAATATAAGAGAAGCACATCTGTGAGTAGCCAACGCTTCGCAACATGCAGCTGAGGATCCCCTTCCCAGGCAACCTCATCAAATCATTCAGCTTTTCATAAAGAAAAATGGCCCAGGACAATTCCTATCAATTTTGGAACGTTCCAAGCAAAGCATTTCTCAAGCATAACAGCCTCATTCTTTAAATTTTGTTTCTTGCATACAATGTCATAAATATATTTTAAAATTATATTAGACTTTCTTGAAAACTTTCTTTTAAACATTTATTTAGAATATATACAATATAATGCATAATATAGTTTGTGCTTTTAAAATCAGTTTTAGCTAATAATTTTAGCTACTTGACAGTTGAAATAAACTAACCATTGATTCTCTTTGCCTTAGACTATCCCTGTGCTGAATGCAGTGGACACAGACACCATCCCCAGTGCATTGTTAATAGACTTTATTATTTTTAGAGCAGTTTAGATTACTGCAAACTTGAGTGGAAAGTAGGGATATTTTCCATGCATCCTCACACATGCACACACACACACAGCCTCCCACACACACACAGCCTCCCACACACACACACACACAGCCTCCCTCACACACGCACACAGCCTCCCTCACACACAAGCACAGCCTCCCTCACACTCACACAGCCTCCCCCCACACACACAGCCTCCCTCACACACACACAGCCTCCCTCACACACACACGGTCTCCCTCACACACGCACACAGCCTCCCTCACACACGCACACAGCCTCCCTTGTACACACACAGCCTCCCTCACACACACACAGCCTCCCTCACACACACACACAGCCTCCCTCACACACACACACAGCCTCCCTCACACACACTCACACAGCCTCCCTCATACACACAGCCTCCCTCACACACACAGTCTCCCTCACACACACAGCCTCCCTCACACACACAGCCTCCCTTGTACACAGCCTCCCTCACACACACAGCCTCCCTTGTACACAGCCTCCCTCGTACACACACAGCCTCCCTCACACACACACAGCCTCCCTCACACACACACACAGCCTCCCTCACACACACACAGCCTCCCTCACACACACACACAGCCTCCCTCACACACACTCACACAGCCTCCCTCATACACACACACAGCCTCCCTCACACACACTCACAGTCTCCCTCACACACACACACAGCCTCCCTCACACACACTCACATAGTCTCCCTCACACACACACACAGCCTCCCTCACACACACAGCCTCCCTTGTACACACACAGCCTCCCTCGTACACACACAGCCTCCCTCACACACACACACAGCCTCCCTCACAGGGTATTTGCAGATATTAATTTTCCACTTTTTTGGGTAAAGACCAACACGAGTGACTGCTGGCTCATATGGTAAGAGTATGCTTAGTTTTGTAGGAAACCGCCAAACTGTCCTCCATGGTGACAATCAGCCTAACAGTGGCCGTGCCATTTTTCACTCCCAGCAGCTGCGATGGCACCCCCATCGCCCATGTCCTCACCACAGTGACAATCAGCCTAACGGTGGCCACGCCATTTTTCACTCCCAGCAGCTGTGATGGCGCCCCCGTCGCCCGCATCCTCAGCAGCGCCGGGTGGCGTCCGTGTTCCCGCGTCCTCGGCAGCGCTGGGTGACACTTGGAGGCGTCCATGTTCCAGCGTTTGGCTGCTGTCATAGGTGTGTATCGGTATCTCATGATTTTTTATCCAATGCATTTTTCAACAATGATATGCATCCTTATCTCCGTATTTAAAGGACTTCATGATGTGGGTGTCCTTTATTCTAGTAAATACTCAGCAATAAGGCTTGTTGAAGATGATTGTGACCAGAAGGAAGGAGCCCAGAAGCTCCCACAGATCATGCCCAGGTTCGCTGCTACCTGCTTGATTTTAAGGGGATACTGGATTCCCCCAAATATGGATACGTGCCTAGCAGTGAAATAGAAAATTAAGGAAATTTCTAAATACATCTGGTAGAATTGATTTTTATGTGGCCAGAATTTTGAAACTATTGCTTTGTTCTTCCGGGTCACTTGGCTAATAGGCAGGACCCCAAAAGGTCTCTATGAACATACTAGAGAAAAGGACTGGAAAGTCAAATCTCAATCAGGAAAGCATCAGGTGCGATGAGACTCCGGAGTCGGGACGCCAGGGGTGATCTACACAGCAGGGGTGCCGGAGCCAGAGAACCAAAGCTCCCACCAGTCCAGGCTGAGCTCCACCATCTCAGATGTGCAGTGCGGCCTCTGAAACAATCCCGGGAAGTGGCACACTGAAGTCGCCTCACCGCCGACCATTTAATCACCCTAGAAACTACCCAGAGCCCGTAACCCTCAGGCCCCTCCTCTGCGGGACTCCTGCCTTCGTGTTCTTGGGACACGGCCAGGACCCCACCTGGGATCTGAGCTTGCTTGGGGTTTCCTCATGAACTCTCTTCTACTTCGGACTCTGTTTCCCATGCCATGGCCCTGCAGCCTGTCGACATGACCCTATCATCGAAGCCCGGACTGACCCGTCCAGCTCTGCAGCCCTGCGGGCCATGCTGAGCTCCCAGCTGGAAGTGCATCACCGCACCGCAGTGGAGGCAGGAGGCCTTGGGTGATGGAGCCCATCCACGAGACTTTCAGAACCAGGGTCCTGCTCTTCGTCCAGAACGGGCATTCCATGCGCAACCTTAATTCCAAGTCTCATTGCTGGCAACTGAGTTCAAATTGGGGGCTGTCTGAAAATCATGGGAGATGAGAACAGGTTTGCCTATGAAAACTGTGGGCTCCCTGTCCACCCGTCCTTGGCTACTGTCACCATCAAAACACTCGTGTGCAAATATATGTGTACATGTCAATCCTTATACAGAAACACGTGCACAGCTGCTAACTCATACATGCACATAAGCACAGCCGCTAACGTGTTTAACTGCCAAACTTACTGTGCGTGCCCAAGGATGCCGCCAATCCAACATCATAAACCCTTCCGGCAAACAGACACTGCCCGTGCCTCTGCGCGGAAGCCTAACCCCCAGGTGCTCCTCGATGACGGCTTCGTGCCTTCTCCCTCTGTCTTCCCTGCAGCGTTGGGTGCTCTCATCAACAAGGCTCATCATCTCTGTCCCCAGCATTGCCTGAGCCTTGCAAAGCCCCTTCCTGTTCTGGGAGCAGGTCAGTGCTATGCCTGCTGCTTGGCTGCCTCCGCCCCACACCCTCGTCCCAGGGAAGCCACAGCTCTGCCCTGCATCCTGCTTGCATGGCCAGGCCAGGACAGCCGGGAGACACGCACACAGAAAAAGCAGACACTGCAGGCTCCATGCTCCAGAGCTTCCAGGATCCTGGGGCAACAGATGTTCACCACTGATGGTTCGGTTATAATTGTGGACAGGCTGCAAAAAAGGGCACGAGAGCGCCTGACAGAGGGCACCGACCTCACCCAGTGGTCAGAGAACGAACAGCGGCCGACCTGAGGACATCGAGGACACTCCAGGCTAAGGGAGCAGCTCCGTGCATGGCAGCATCCAGCCCCGGTGGGCGACGGGGAGGGAGCAGTTCCGTGCATGGCAACACCTGGCCCCGGTGGGCGGCCAGGAGGGAGCAGCTCCGTGCATGGCAGCACCTGGCCCCAGTGGGCAACGGGGAGGGAGCAGCTCCGTGCATGGCAGCACCTGGCCCTGGTGGGCGGCCGGGAGGGAGCAGCTCCGTGCATGGCAGCACCTGGCCCTGGTCAGCCCCAGTGGGCAGTGGAGACAAGGCCTTGCAGTTCTGGATCAGGCAGGAGAGGACACCAAGCTGGTCAAGCCACTCAAGCAGATTGTGCAGAGCCTGCAGGAATCAGAGGCAGTGGCCTTCATCCCAGGAGCTAGAGGAGGCCACCTCCACTTGGGTGGTGTTCCAGGCAGGGCAGGCTCTTGAATGGGTCTGCGTTTTAAAACAGATCTCCCTGGCAAGGGCTGGAGATTGCCAGGAGCCCATGGCGGGTAAACAGAGCAGCCCCAACCAGGGGATGGTGGCTAAGTGAGGATGGTGGTCATGGAGACCAGAGACCTGGATAGACTGGAGCCATCTGCAAGGTGAACCTTAGGACAACACACATCCCTCTGCCGGCAGCAGCAACCAGGCCTTTCCACATGCTACCCAGCCCATGCACAGACAGGCTTGTGGGGGAGGGGAATATTCTGGGAGACGTTCTGTAGAATGAGTCTTTTTCCAAAACAGGAAGGAAGGCAGGCTTCTTGCTGCCCTGGCTGGGAGAGGCGAGACATGGCAGGCGTCCCCCGACAAGAATTCTGCCTGGCCTGGAACTCCGATATCAGGGACTCAACGAACTGGGGGGCCTCACACCCCCAGAGTTCTGGGATGCAACCCCCTTCACTGTGCAGACAGAAGGCTGGACCCCACAGAACTCCGATCTCAGGGACTCAGTGAACCAGGGGGCCCCACATTTCAGAGTTCTAGGACGCAACCCCTTCACTGTGCAGACAGAAGGCTGGACCCCACTGCCTCTGGGACCGGAATGGACAGTGCTAAAGACAGTGAGAGAAGGAATGCCCAGGATGCAGAGCAGCGGATGAACAGGGCCCAGGACAATGGACACAAAAGCTTTGAGGAGCAAAAGGTTTGCTTAGAGACACTTTTATTAACAGTAATCTAGAATTGGGTGGTCAGTTTCTTTCATTTGAAAGAAAATATTGAGCATTTTCTGTGGTTGGATTTTTGGAGAAATAAGAAAAAGAGCTCATTTATCTTGGTAATTTGTTTTAAATAGTGGTCCTTAGAGCACTGTTCCCACAGGCCAAAGTAATTTCATTCGCAAGCGTCACTGTCCCCAAAACACAAACACAGGCCTCCTCCAGGACCAAGCTTCCAGCCCACTTCTATTCTCATATAGTCTGTGGGGCTGCATACCTCCCTCCAACCTTACACCACACGTGTGTACACGGTGCATGTATGCACATTCATACCTGCATGAACCAACACACACATTTTCACACACTTCTCCCATGCACGGGACACTCACACATACACACACTCACATGCACCCA
Source organism: Homo sapiens (assembly GCF_000001405.40). Taxonomy (NCBI): domain Eukaryota; kingdom Metazoa; phylum Chordata; class Mammalia; order Primates; family Hominidae; genus Homo; species Homo sapiens. Next base: position 153,264 of record NT_187560.1, on the reverse strand, counting down.
CGTGAACATTCCAACACATGTACACACACAAGTGTGCACACACTCATTTGCATGCACTTGATTATGCAGACACACACACAGGAGCACGTACACACTCACACATTTGCAAACGTGCACACACACACACACACCCAGACACACTAACTCATATACAGGTGCACACAAGCGCACATGCACAAACTCACACGCCCACACGCGTACGCTCACACACAGTCTCCGCATGGACAAGACGGCACCTCGCCTCTACCGCCCTGCAGGACCACCCTCTCCCCGGTGACACCGTGAGTTCCTGGAAGGCAGGGATCACAGCTACAGCCTCTTCACGCCCCCACAGCATCTGGTACAGTGCCTTGCCCCCGGTGTGGACTAAAAGGATGTTAGTGAATGACTATAACTGGTATTTTCCCTTTTGTCTAAAAGAAAATGGAGATGTCCGTGGAAGTGTTTAAGACCATCAGCTAGAAGCCTCATTTGTTGAAATCTCACATAGATTTACAAGTCCTCACCCCTGGCAGTGACCCACTTGGATGAAAGACTCACTGGGGACCAAAAAGGTGGTGGTGGGGGCGCCCTAGGAGGGGCTGGCATGAGTCTCGCAAGTTCTCAGGTGGCCATGCGCCTCCACCCCGTCCCGTACTGTCTCTCTGCTTGGGCTCAGAGGGCCGATTGACCCCCAGCATTTCTATCCCCAGCTCCATAAGTGAAGCAGGTGATCCTAGTGGACCTCTGTTCTTCAGAGTAAGGGTGGGGCTCTGCTGCCCAGGGTGCCCCAGAGGGTCCTGTTGCTTGGAGATACTGAGCCTCCACTCTCTGTGACACCCATAGCACTGACCCAGAACCATCCAATTGGAGCACCGGAAAGCTGTGGACCGAACAAGGTGGCTTTGATACCCCGTGAGGAAAGTGCTCTTGCCACACTTTGCTTAGGTGATATGCCCAGGCCTGCACTAAACAACATCCCGAGTGACACGTCCAGGCCTGCCCTAGAGGATATCCTAGGAGAAATGGCCCAGAGACGCTAACTGTGCATCTGCTGAGAAACGTCACTCACTGCGTTACCCCACAATTCTCCACAGAGATCCACAGGGGGTCCCCCAGTCCCCACAATTAACCACAGAGATCCACAGGGGGTCCCCCAGGCCCCACAATTCTCCCCAGAGATCCACAGGGGGTCCTCCAGTCCCCACAATTCTCCACAGAGATCCACAGGGGGTCCCCCAGGCCCCACAATCTCCACAGAGATCCACAGGGGGTCCCCCAGCCAGGAGCATCTTCCTTCCACCAAACGCCGTGAGCACGACCAGCTCCTGGGCAGGGACGCCTCCTGCTTACAGGCGCCTGTGGCACAGATTCCAGTGAACTAACCATCTGCTTTTCCCCTTTTTCTAATATCTTTACCTACTTTTACTTATGTCTTTTTTTTTTTAACATTTCTTATTTATTTATGGAAATATAACAGGACTTGGGAATTAATGAATACAATATGATCACTTAATTTAGTATTTCAAAGTGAGGCAATTAGCTTAGGGCATTGTTTGAAATAACCACAATGCGCGTACCTATTCAATCATTTGTGTAAACAGCATATTAAGGTAAATGGTATGCACGTGAAAACTGATTTATCTCAGCTGCCTGGAAACTATCAGAACAAAGTTCTTGAATTGTGAGCAAGAAGGGATGGGCAGAAAAGGCACCCCAATTACGAAGCCTTTGCAGATGAGAGGCGTGGGAGGCTGTATTCCGACAAGAAGGGCAGGCGAGAGACACCCGGCAAACCACCGGGCAGGCAGAGCCCCGGCGGAGCAAGCACTAGCACGTTCCAGGGCTGGGCAGGGACTGCGACCATTTCTAGAATCGTCACAAAGCCATCGCTGAGACAGACACTCAGGTTTGCAGAATACTGTCTACAGTAAACACCAAATGCATCCGCTCTTGCGGCTGCCAGCTGACCCTGCCCAGACAAAAGGAACGGGCAGTCAGTCTCACAGCAGCTCCCTGGGAACACACCTGGGAAGCCCAGGAGGGGAACACGGCCTCCTGGGGGTGTCCCAGGCACTGAACCCAGAGACTAGAAACAGCAACGTTGCAGGGCTCAGGGCGCACTTTCCAGAGAGAATGGGACCACATCCAGGGCCCCACAGGCCATACCCGCCGCAGGTCTTGAGTCTGGCAGCCAGGGAGGGAGCACAGCCGCCTCTCATGAAACAATGGCACCCTGCTGTGCTTCTTCAAGCTGGTCTGTCACTCACTCCCTCCCTGCATCCAAACAAGGCAAGGCCCAGAGGCTGCGGTCACCCAGGTGGCCAGTGAGCACCAAGCAGCACCAGTGACCCCTCGTGGCTGCCTCCCTGCAGTGCCAGTTCTTCATCCGAGACATCGCTCAGGAGCCCTGCTCTGGCTCAGGCCTGAAGATGCCAGTGGCAGACTCAGTCGGCCAGTGTGAGGGGCCAGGAGACGAGACACTGCTGCCCAGTACAGCAGGAGAATTAATGCACACTTGTACACGTGTGCACAATACACAAGCAACCACGTACACAGACATTCACAGCATGCACACACAATGTATGCAGACACATGCACATATGCAGACACACAACCACATAATGCATGCACATTCTCACATACACATCCTCACACATGCTCTCACAGGCACACGTTCTCACACACATGCACATTCTCACATGCACACGTTTTCACACATGCTCACACACTCTCACATGCACACACATGCACATTCTCACACATGCACACATCCTCACACATGCTCTCACATGCATACATTCTCACACACATGCACATTCTCACATGCACGTTTCACACATGCTCACACACATGCACACACATGCACATTCTCACACATGCACACATCCTCACACATGCTCTCACATGCATACATTCTCACACACATGCTCATTCTCGCATGCACACGTTCTCACACATGCACACATTCTCACACATGCACATGCTCACACGTTCTCACATACACACATACACATTCTCACACATGCACACACGCACACATTCACACGCACATACACATTCTCAGATGCACACACATGCATTCTCACATATATACACATTCTCACACATGCACATGTACACATTCTCATCTGCACATACATGCACACATTCTCACATGCACTCATTCTCACCCATGCACATTCTCACACAAGCACACACATACACACTCATATCCACACGTGCACACATTCTCACATGCACACACACGTGCTCACATTCTCACACATGCACACATTCTCAAACACACACGTAAACATTCTCATATCCACATACATGCACACATTCTCACATGCACACACGTGCTCACACATGCTCACACATGTACACATTCTCACATACACATTCTCACATGCACACACGTGCTCACACATGCTCACACATGTACACATTCTCACACACACATCACATGCACACACATGCTCACACATGCTCACACATGTACACGTTCTCACACACATTCTCACATGCACACACCTGCTCACACATGTACACGTTCTCACACATTCTCACATGCACAAGTTCTCACACACATGAACATTCTCACACACATGCACATGTACACACTATCTGTTCTCACATGCTCACACATGTACATGTTCTCATGTACACACTCACTACTCACACTCAGAATAGCAGAAGGAGCCCTCACCAGCCTGGGACCACCATGCTCCAGGTGTCCTGCTGTACCAGGCTAGGTCACCCTTTCATTCTTTCCTGCCTCCCCTGCTGGGGTCCCTCAGGACCCTGCCTCTCTCCCACTGCCCCCTCCTGGTGGAGGCTGCCTTGCCAAAGTACCTTCAATCTGTAAATCCCGGTGCCCTGGGACACTGGAGCTGCCTCTGAAGTCCCCTCCCTGCAGGGAGCTGGCAGCGTTGCCAGGGTTCCCTCGGTCCCATGGGGCTTCTCAAAGCAGCACCACAGACGGAGGAGCCCACTGCTCCATCAGGGTCCCCAGGGGTGCAGCAACAAGAAAAAAATCTCCCCAGCTATTTTTGGAGGAGGGAAAAGTAATTACAGCTCAGAATCACTGCCCTGTTGAAAGGAATTCTCCAGAGGGAGAAAAAGCCCTTTATCTGAACTGATCAAGCACCTGCCATGCACATTTCTGCAAGGAAGCTGTAAAAGTGCTCCCATTCTGCAAGGAAGCTGTAAAAGTGCTCCCATTCTCAGGGAGTAGAAACTGCTGTCATGGCATCCAGTCATAACTGCTGCAAAAATTCCAGGAGGCCAAAGGTGAATCCTGAGAGACAGCAATGGCTTCTGAGGCCCAAGGAAGCAGGCACTGGCTCACCACACACCCAGGTCAGATTTAAGGAGCCGTTGGATCCGTGGGCTGCGTCCAAGGCAGGACTGCTGTGAAGTCTGAGCAGCTTAGTTCGTAACGAAACCTGAAGATAAGCCGAGACCCTATATCGCTGGAAATTCCTTTATTTTCAAGGATTTCGTTACAGTTCAGAGCAGCCACTGACAGGCAGCAGAAGGCAGGGGACAGAGTGACAGTGCCTGGGAGCGGCCAGCACAGCCTATGCATCTGCAGAGCAGCGTGAGGCTCTGACTGGGGAGGAGCCCCGCGTCCGGGCAGCACCTGCACCCACAGCGGGAGTCTCACTGTCCGGAGAGGCCAGCTTCCCTTGTGTGAGGAGCAGGGCCCCCATTCCTCCCACCACCCAGATCCCAGTGAGGCCTGGGATGGTAAATCCAGGAGAGGCCAGCTTCCCTTGTGAGTGTGAGTGACGTCTGCAGGTGTCAGGTCTTATGGTGAGAGTGTGGGTGTGAGTGACATCTGCAAGTCACTAGGAGCGGGGCCTCCATTCCCCCCCCCCCGCCACCCAGGGATCCCAGGGAGGCCTGGGACAGTAAATCCAGGAGATCCCAGCTTCCCTGAGCGACAAGCGGGACCTCTGTTCCTCTCGCCACCCAGGGATCCCAGTGAGGCCTGGGACGGTAAATCCAGGAGAGGCCAGCTTCCCTTGTGAGTGTGAGTGATGTCTGCAAGCATCAGGTCTTATGATGAGATTGTGGGTGTGAGTGACATCTGCAAGTCACTATGAGTGGGGCCTCCATTCCTCCCGCCACCCAGGGATCCCAGTGAGGCCTGGGATGGCAAATCCAGCGGCGCACAGCCCACTGCACCGAGGGAGGCGCACGACAGAAGCCACAGCTTGAGGGTGTGAGCCGGCAGTACTGAGGAGCCCAGCAGACGCCGGCCAGGCGGGGCAGGGGGAAGCGTGGCGGGTGGGAGGCCCTTCTGGGAGGTGAGGAGCAGGCTAGGAGGGGAGGACAGTGAAGACAGTGCCGAGAACACAGCCAGTCATGCCTCCCTCACGGAGCACCAGCGCGCCCAGCACTTCCCAGCCTTTTACCTTTAAGGATGCCTTAAACCCCCACCCCAAGCCCATGAGGCTCCTCCTCCATGCAACAGGCTGTGTGCCGAAACCAGCCCCGGGTGCTGCTGTTAGCAGGCGGACGGCTGAGAGGCGAGGAGGTGGGGCCTTCCTTACAGAGGACCCAAGGACGGCTCACGCTCCGGCCACATGAGGACACGTGAGGAGGCACCGTCGATGAGCCAGGAGGGGACTCGCCAGACATCAGACGTCAACCCTGCCAGGGCGGTTACCTTGGCTTCCAGCCTTCAGAACTGAGAAATCAATGTCTGCTGTTTCTAAGCCCCGCAATAGGTGGTACTTTGAGCAGCCTTCATGGACTAAGACACTGCGTATTATTATCCCATTGACGCCATGTGGAAATTAAGGCACAGGGAGGTTAAGGAACTTGCTCAGAGTTGGCCTGGGAGTCGCAACCCAAGATCTGTCCACATGGTCCCACTTCACCGCTCGAGGCTGTGTCCTCTACGGAGACTCACTTTCACTTTAGACTGTAGATGCCAGCGTCTGACTGAGAAAATGCGGTCACCATAGCTACATGGAGTGACTGGCAGAGTGTCCTATTCTGCAACCAACTCACAAACTCCTCAGGTCTTGTATGGCGACTCTCACCATAAGAGCTCACGCCCGCAGACGACACTCACACCCACACTCTCACCATAAGAGGTGACACCCGCAGACGTCACTCACACCCACACTCTCACCATAAGAGGTGACACCTGCAGACGTCACTCACACCCACACTCTCACCATAAGAGCTGTCACACGCAGACGACACTCACACCCACACTCTCACCATAAGAGCTGACGCCCGCAGACGTCACTCACACCCACACTCTCACCATGAGAGCTGTCACACGCAGACGTCACTCACACCCACACTCTCACCATAAGAGCTGACGCCCGCAGACGTCACTCACATCCACACTCTCACCATAAGAGCTGATGCCCGCAGACGTCATTCACACCCACACTCTCACCATAAGAGCTGATGCCCGCAGACGTCATTCACACCCACACTCTCACCATAAGAGCTGTCACACGCAGACGACACTCACACCCACACTCTCACCATAAGAGGTGACACCTGCAGACGTCACTCACACCCACACTCTCACCATAAGAGCTGATGCCCGCAGACATCACTCACACCCACACTCTCACCATAAGAGGTGACATCTGCAGATGTCACTCACACCCACACTCTCACCAGAAGAGCTGTCACACGCAGACGTCACTCACACCCACACTCTCACCATAATTGGTGACACCTACAGACGTCACTCACACCCACACATGTCACTCACACCGACACTCTCACCATAAGAGCTGACGCCCGCAGATGTCACTCACACCCACACTCTCACCATAAGAGGTGAAACCTGCAGATGTCACTCACACCCACACTCACCATAAGAGTTGACACCTGCAGACGTCATTCACACCCACAATCTCACCATAATTGGTGACAAATGCAGACGTCACTCACACCCACACGTCACTCACACCCACACTCTCACCATAAGAGCTGACGGCCGCAGACGTCACTCACACCCACACTCTCACCATAAGAGCTGACGCCCGCAGACGTCACTCACACCCACAGTCTCACCATAAGAGGTGACACCTGCAGACGTCACTCACATCCACACTCTCACCATAAGAGGTGACACCTGCAGACGTCACTCACCCACACTCTCACCATAAGAGCTGTCGCCCGCACAGGTCACTCACACCCACACTCTCACCATAAGATCCGACGCCCGCAGACGTCACTCACACCCACACTCGTCACTCACACACTCTCACCATAAGAGCTGTCACCCACAGACATCACTCACACCCACACTGTCACCATAAGAGCTGACACCCGCAGATGTCACTCACACCCACACTCTCACCATAAGAGCTGAGGCCCACAGAGGTCACTTACAGCCATACTCTCACCATAAGAGGTGACACCTGCAGACGTCACTCACACCGACACTCTCACCATAAGAGGTGACACTTGCAGACGTCACTAACACCCACATTCTCACCATAAGAGCTGACACCTGCAGATGTCACTCACACTCACACTCTCACCATAAGAGCTGTCACGCACAGACATCACTCACACCCACACTGTCACCCTAAGAGGTGACACCTGCAGACGTCCCTCACACCCACACTCTCACCATAAGAGGTGACACCCGCAGACGTCACTCAAACCCACACTCTCACCATAAGAGGTGACACCCGCAGACGTCACTCGCACCCACACTCTCACCATAAGAGCTGAGGACCACAGAGGTCACTTACAGCCATACTCTCACCATAAGAGGTGACACCTGCAGACGTCACTCACGCCGACACTCTCACCATAAGAGGTGACACTTGCAGACGTCACTAACACCCACATTCTCACCATAAGAGCTGACACCTGCAGACGTCACTCAAACTCACACTCTCACCATAAGAGCTGTCACGCACAGACATCACTCACACCCACACTGTCACCCTAAGAGGTGACACCCGCAGACGACACTAACAACCAGATTCTCACCATAAGAGCTGACACCCGCAGACGTCACTCACACCCACACTCTCACCATAAGAGCTGACGCCCGCAGATGTCACTCACACTCACACTCCCACGATAAGAGCTGACAACTGAAGACGTCACTCACATCCACACTCTCTCCATAAGAGCTGACAACCGCAAACGTCACTGACACCCACACTCTAACGATAAGAGGTGACATCTGCAGACGACACTCACACCCACACTCTCACCATAAGAGCTGAGGCCCACAGAGGTCACTCACACCCATACTCCCACCATAAGAGCCGACACCTGCAGATGTCACTCACATCCACACTCTCACCATAAGATGTGACACCTGCAGACATCACTCACATCCACACTCTGTCCATAAGAGCTGACACCCGCAGACGTCACTGACACCCACACTCTCACGATAAGAGGTGACATCTGCAGACGTCACTCACACCCACACTCTCACCATAAGAGCTGAGGCCCACAGAGGACACTCACACCCACACTCTCACCATAAGAGGTGACACCTGCAGATGTCACTCACACCCATACTCTCAACATAAGAGCTGACACCTGCAGACGTCACTCACACCCACACTCTCACCATAAGAGGTGACATCTACAGACGGCACTCACACCCACACTCTCACCATAAGAGCTGAGGCACAAAGAGGTCACTCACATCCATACTCTCACCATAAGAGGTGACACCTGCAGACGTCACTCACACCCACACTCTCACCATAAGAAGTGACACCTGCAGATGTCACTCACACCCACACTGTCACCATAAGAGCTGATGCCTGCAGACATCACTCACACCCACACTCTAACCATAAGAGTTGACACCTGCAGATGTCACTTACACCCACACTCTCACCATAAGAGCTGAGGCCCACAGAGGACACTCACACCCATACTCTCACCATAAGAGCTGATGCCTGCAGACGTCACTCACGTACACACTTCTCACCATAAGAGGTGACACATGCAAACGTCACTCACACCCACACTCTCACCATAAGAAGTGACACCTGCAAACGTCACTCACACCCACACTCTCACCATAAGAAGTGACACCTGCAGACATCACTCACACCCACAGTCTCACCATAAGAGGTGACACCTGCAGACGTCACTCACACCCACACTCTCACCATAAGAGCTGAAACCTGCAGACGTCACTCACACCCACACTCTCACCATAAGAAGTGACACCTGCAAATGTCACTCACACCCACGCTCTCACCATAAGAAGTGACACCTGCAGACATCACTCACACCCACAGTCTCACCATAAGAGGTGACACCTGCAGACGTCACTCAAACCCACACTCTCACCATAAGAGCTGTCGCCCGCAGACGTGACTCACACCCACACTCTCCCCAAAAGAGCTGTCGCCCGCAGGAGTCACTCACACCCACACTCTCACCATAAGAGGTGACATCTGCAGACGTCACTCACACCCACACTGTCACCATAAGAGGTGACACCTGCAGACGTCACTCACACCCACACTCGCACCATAAGAGGTGACACCTGCAGACGTCACTCACACCCACACTGTCACCATAAGAGGTGACACCTGCAGACGTCTCTCACACCCACACTCTCTCCATAAGAGGTGACACCTGGAGACGTCACTCACACCCACACTCTCACCATAAGACCTGACACTCGCAGACGTCACTCACACCCACACTCTCACCATAAGAGCTGATGCCGGCACACGTCACACACACCCACACTCTCACTATAAGAGGTGACACCTACAGACATCACTCACACCCACATTCTCACCATAAGAGCTGACACCCACAGACATCACTCACACCCACACTGTCACCATAAGAGCTGAGGCCCACAGAGGTCACTCACACACATACTCTCACCATAAGAGCTGACACCCGCAGACATCACTCACACACACACTCTCACCATAAGAGCTGAGGCCCACAGAGGTCACTCACACCCACACTCTCACCATAGAGCTGACACCCGCAGACGTCACTCACACCCACACTCTCACCATAAGAGCTGACACCCGCAGACGTCACTCACACCCACACTCTCACCATAAGAGCTGTCGCCCGCAGAGGTCACTCACACCCACAATCTCACCATAAGAGCCGACACCCGCAGACATCACTCACACACACACGCGTCACTCACACTCACACTCTAGCCATAAGAGCTGACGCCCGCAGACGTCACTCACACCCACACTCTCACCATAAGAGGTGACACCTGCAGACGTCACTCACACCCACACTCTCACCATAAGAGGTGACACATGCAGACGTCACACACACCCACACTCTCACCATAATTGGTGACACCTGCAGACGGAACTCACACCCACACATGTCACTCACACCCACACTCTCACCATAAGAGCTGACACATGCAGACGTCACTCACACCCACACTCTCACCATAAGAGCTGACACCTGCAGACGTCACTCACACCCACACGTCACTCACACCCACACTCTCACCATAAGAGCTGACGCCCGCAGATGTCACTCACACCCACACTCTCACCATAAGAGGTGAAACCTGCAGACGTCACTCACACCCACACTCTCACCATAAGAGGTGACGCCCATAGACGTCACTCACACCCACACACGTCACTCACACCCACACTCTCACCATAAGAGGTGACACCTGCAGACGTCACTCACACCCACACTCTCACCATAAGAGCTCTCGCCCACAGAGGTCACTCACACCCACACTCTCACCATAAGAGCCGACGCCCGCAGACGTCACTCACACCCACACTCTCACCATAATTGGTGACACCTGCAGACGTCACTCACACCCACACTCTCACCATAAGAGGTGACACCTGCAGACGTCACACCCACACTCTCACCATAAGAGGTGACGCCCGCAGACATCACTCACACCCACACTCTCACCATAGAGCTGACGCCCGCAGACGTTACTCACACCCACACTCTCACCATAAGAGGTGACACCTGCAGACGTCACTCACACCCACACTCTCACCATAATAGCTGTCGTCCGGAGGCGTCACTCACACCCACACTCTCACCATAAGCGCTGTCGTCCGGAGGCGTCACTCACACCCACACTCTCACCATAAGCGCTGACACCTGCTGACGTCACTCACACCCACACTGTCACCATAAGAGCTGACACCCGCAGACGTCACTCACATCCACACTCTCACCATAAGAGGTGACACCTGCAGACGTCACTCACACCCACACTCTCACCATAAGAGCTGAGGCCCACAGAGGACACTCACACCCACACTCTGACCATAAGAGGTGACACATGCAGATGTCACTCACACCCACACTGTCACCATAAGAGCTGATGCCTGCAGACGTCACTCACACCCACACTCTCACCATAAGAGGTGACACCTGCAGACGTCACTCACACCCACACTGTCACCATAAGAGCTGAGGCCCACAGAGGACACTCACACCCATACTCTCACCATAAGAGGTGACACCTGCAGATATCACTCACACCCATACTCTCACCATAAGAGCTGACACCTGCAGACGTCACTCACACCCACACTCTCAACCATAAGAGGTGACACATGCAGATGTCACTCACACCCACGCTGTCACCATAAGAGCTGATGCCTGCAGACGTCACTCACACCCACACTCTCACCATAAGAGTTGACACCTGCAGATGTCACTCACACCCACACTCTCACCATAAGAGCTGAGGCCCACAGAGGACACTCACACCCATACTCTCACCATAAAAGCTGATGCCTGCAGACGTCACTCACGTACACACTTCTCACCATAAGAGGTGACACATGCAAACGTCACTCACACCCACACTCTCACCATAAGAAGTGACACCTGCAAACGTCACTCACACCCACACTCTCACCATAAGAAGTGAAACCTGCAGACATCACTCACACCCACAGTCTCACCATAAGAGGTGACACCTGCAGACGTCACTCACACCCACACTCTCACCATAAGAGCTGACACCTGCAGACGTCACTCACACCCACACTCTCACCATAAGTGACACCTGCAAATGTCACTCACACCCACACTATCACCATAAGAAGTGACACCTGCAGACATCACTCACACCCACAGTCTCACCATAAGAGGTGACACCTGCAGACGTCACTCACACCCACACTCTCACCATAAGAAGTGACACCTGCAAATGTCACTCACACCCACACTCTCACCATAAGAAGTGACAACTGCAGACATCACTCACACCCACAGTCTCACCATAAGAGGTGACACGTGCAGACGTCACTCACACCCACATTCTCACCATAAGAGCTGTCGCCCGCAGAGGTCACTCACACCCACAATCTCACCATAAGAGCCGACGCCCGCAGACATCACTCACACCCACACACGTCACTCGCACTCACACTCTAGCCATAAGAGCTGACGCCCGCAGACGTCACTCACACCCACACTCTCACCATAAGAGGTGACACCTGCAGACGTCACTCACACCCACACTCTCACCATAAGAGCTGACACATGCAGACGTCACTCACACCCACACTCTCACAATAATTGGTGACACCTGCAGACGTCACTCACACCCACACATGTCACTCACACCCACACTCTCACCATAAGAGCTGACGCCCGCAGATGTCACTCACACCCACACTCTCACCATAAGAGGTGAAACCTGCCGACGTCACTCACACCCACACTCACCATAAGAGTTGACACCTGCAGACGTCATTCACACCCACACTCTCACCATAATTGGTGACACATGCAGACGTCACTCACACCCACACGTCACTCACACCCACACTCTCACCATAAGAGCTGACGCCCGCAGACGTCACTCACACCCACACTCTCACCAAAAGAGCTGACGCCCGCAGACGTCACTCACACCCACAGTCTCACCATAAGAGGTGACACCTGCAGACGTCACTCACATCCACACTCTCACCATAAGAAGTGACACCTGCAGACGTCACTCACCCACACTCTCACCATAAGAGCTGTCGCCCGCACAGGTCACTCACACCCACACTCTCACCATAAGATCCGACGCCCGCAGACGTCACTCACACCCACACTCGTCACTCACACTCACACTCTCACCATAAGAGCTGATGCCCGCAGACGTCACTCACACCCACACTCTCACCATAAGAGCTGTCACCCACAGACATCACTCACACCCACACTGTCACCATAAGAGCTGACACCCGCAGACGTCACTCACACCCACACTCTCACCATAAGAGCTGAGGCCCACAGAGGTCACTTACAGCCATACTCTCACCATAAGAGGTGACACCTGCAGACGTCACTCACACCGACACTCTCACCATAAGAGGTGACACTTGCAGACGTCACTAACACCCACATTCTCACCATAAGAGCTGACACCTGCAGACGTCACTCAAACTCACACTCTCACCATAAGAGCTGTCACGCACAGACATCATTCACACCCACACTGTCACCCTAAGAGGTGACACCTGCAGACGTCCCTCACACCCACACTCTCACCATAAGAGGTAACACCTGCAGACGTCCCTCACACCCACACTCTCACCATAAGAGGTGACACCCACAGACGTCACTCAAACCCACACTCTCACCATAAGAGGTGACACCTGCAGACGTCACTCGCACCCACACTCTCACCATAAGAGGTGACACCTGCAGACGTCATTCACACCCACACTCTCACCATAATTGGTGACACCTGCAGACGTCACTCACACCCACACTCTCACCATAAGAGGAGACACCTGCAGACGTCATTCACACCCACACTCTCACCATAATTGGTGACACCTGCAGACGTCACTCACACCCACACTCTCACCATAAGAGCTGACGCCCGCAGACGTCACTCACAACCACACTCTCACCATAAGAGGTGACACCTGCAAACGTCACTCACACCCACACTCTCACCATAAGAGGTGACGCCCATAGACGTCACTCACACCCACACACGTCACTCACACTCACACTCTCACCATAAGAGTGTGACACCTGCAGACGTCACTCACACCCACACTCTCACCATAATGAGTCTCGCCCGCAGAGGTCACTCACACCCACACTCTCACCATAAGAGCTGACGCCCGCAGACGTCACTCACACCCACACTCTCACCATAATTGGTGACACCTGCAGACGTCACTCACACCCACACTCTCACCATAAGAGGTGACACCTGCAGACGTCACACCCACACTCTCACCATAAGAGGTGATGCCCGCAGACATCACTCACACCCACACTCTCACCATAGAGCTGACGCCCGCAGACGTTACTCACACCCACACTCTCACCATAAGAGGTGACACCTGCAGACGTCACTCACACCCACACTCTCACCATAATAGCTGTCGTCCGGAGGCGTCACTCACACCCACACTCTCACCATAAGCGCTGACACCTGCTGACGTCACTCACACCCACACTGTCACCATAAGAGCTGACACCCGCAGACGTCACTCACATCCACACTCTCACCATAAGAGGTGACACCTGCAGACGTCACTCACACCCACACTCTCACCATAAGAGCTGAGGCCCACAGAGGACACTCACACCCACACTCTGACCATAAGAGGTGACACATGCAGATGTCACTCACACCCACACTGTCACCATAAGAGCTGATGCCTGCAGACGTCACTCACACCCACACTCTCACCATAAGAGGTGACACCTGCAGACGTCACTCACACCCACACTCTCACCATAAGAGCTGAGGCCCACAGAGGACACTCACACCCATACTCTCACCATAAAAGCTGATGCCTGCAGACGTCACTCACGTACACAGTTCTCACCATAAGAGGTGACACATGCAAACGTCACTCACACCCACATTCTCACCATAAGAAGTGACACCTGCAAACGTCACTCACACCCACACTCTCACCATAAGAAGTGACACCTGCAGACATCACTCACACCCACAGTCTCACCATAAGAGGTGACACCTGCAGACGTCACTCACACCCACACTCTCACCATAAGAGCTGACACCTGCAGACGTCACTCACACCCACACTCTCACCATAAGAAGTGACACCTGCAAATGTCACTCACACCCACACTCTCACCATAAGAACTGACACCTGCAGACATCACTCACACCCACAGTCTCACCATAAGAGGTGACACCTGCAGACGTCACTCACACCCACACTCTCACCATAAGAGCTGTCGCCCGCAGACGTGACTCACACCCACACTCTCCCCATAAGAGCTGTCGCCCGCAGAAGTCACTCACACCCACACTCTCACTATAAGAGGTGACATATGCAGACGTCACTCACACCCACACTGTCACCATAAGAGGTGACACCTGCAGACGTCACTCACACCCACACTCGCACCATAAGAGGTGACACCTGCAGATGTCACTCACACCCATACTCTCACCATAAGAGCTGACACCTGCATACGTCACTCACACCCACACTCTCAACCATAAGAGGTGACACATGCAGATGTCACTCACACCCACGCTGTCACCATAAGAGCTGATGCCTGCAGACGTCACTCACACCCACACTCTCACCATAAGAGTTGACACCTGCAGATGTCACTTACACCCACACTCTCACGATAAGAGCTGAGGCCCACAGAGGACACTCACACCCATACTCTCACCATAAAAGCTGATGCCTGCAGACGTCACTCACGTACACACTTCTCACCATAAGAGGTGACACATGCAAACGTCACTCACGCCCACACTCTCACCATAAGAAGTGACACCTGCAAACGTCACTCACACCCACACTCTCACCATAAGAAGTGACACCTGCAGACATCACTCACACCCACAGTCTCACCATAAGAGGTGACACCTGCAGACGTCACTCACACCCACACTCTCACCATAAGAGCTGACACCTGCAGACGTCACTCACACCCACACTCTCACCATAAGAAGTGACACCTGCAAATGTCACTCACACCCACACTCTCACCATAAGAAGTGACACCTGCAGACATCACTCACACCCACAGTCTCACCATAAGAGGTGACACCTGCAGACGTCACTCACACCCACACTCTCACCATAAGAGCTGTCGCCCGCAGACGTGACTCACACCCACACTCTCCCCATAAGAGCTGTCGCCCGCAGAAGTCACTCACACCCACACTCTCACTATAAGAGGTGACATATGCAGACGTCACTCACACCCACACTGTCACCATAAGAGGTGACACCTGCAGACGTCACTCACACCCACACTCGCACCATAAGAGGTGACACCTGGAGACGTCACTCACACCCACACTCTCACCATAAGACCTGACACTCGCAGACGTCACTCACACCCACACTCTCACCATAAGAGCTGATGCCGGCACACGTCACTCACACCCACACTCTCACTATAAGAGGTGACACCTACAGACATCACTCACACCCACATTCTCACCATAGGAGCTGACACCCACAGACATCACTCACACCCACACTGTCACCATAAGAGCTGAGGCCCACAGAGGTCACTCACACCCATACTCTCACCATAAGAGCTGACACCCGCAGACGTCACTCACACACACACTCTCACCGTAAGAGCTGACACCCGCAGACGTCACTCACATCCACACTCTCACCATAATAGGTGACACCTGCAGACGTCACTCACACCCACATTCTCACCATAAGAGCTGTCGCCCGCAGAGGTCACTCACACCCACAATCTCACCATAAGAGCCGACGCCCGCAGACATCACTCACACCCACACACGTCACTCACACTCACACTCTAGCCATAAGAGCTGACGCCCGCAGACGTCACTCACACCCACACTCTCACCATAAGAGGTGAAACCTGCAGACGTCACTCACACCCACACTCACCATAAGAGGTGACACATGCAGACGTCACACACACCCACACTCTCACCATAATTGGTGACACCTGCAGACGTCACTCACACCCACACATGTCACTCACACCCACACTCTCACCATAAGAGCTGACACATGCAGACGTCACTCACACCCACACTCTCACCATAAGAGCTGACACCCGAAGTCAGTCACACCCACACACGTCAATCACACTCACACTCTCACCATAAGAGCTGACGCCCGCAGATGTCACTCACACCCACACTCTCACCATAAGAGGTGAAACCTGCAGACGTCACTCACACCCACACTCACCATGAGGTGACACCTGCAGACGTCATTCACACCCACACTCTCACCATAATTGGTGACACCTGCAGACGTCACTCACACCCACACGTCACTCACACCCACAGTCTCACCATAAGAGCTGACGCCCGCAGACGTCACTCACACCCACACTCTCACCATAAGAGGTAACACCTGCAGACGTCATTCACACCCACACTCTCACCATAATTGGTGACACCTGCAGACGTCATTCACACCCACACTCTCACCATAAGAGCCGACGCCCATAGACGTCACTCACACCCACACACGTCACTCACACCCACACTCTCACCATAAGAGGTAACACATGCAGACGTCACTCACACCCACACTCTCACCATAAGAGCTGTCGCCCGCAGAGGTCACTCACACCCACACTCTCACCATAAGAGGTAACACCTTCAGACGTCATTCACACCCACACTCTCACCATAATTGGTGACACGTGCAGACGTCACTCACACCCACACTCTCACCATAAGAGGTGACATCTGCAGACGTCACTCACACCCACACTCTCACCATAAGAGGTGACACCCGCAGACATCACTCACACCCACACTCTCACCATAAGAGGTAACACATGCAGACGTCACTCACACCCACACTCTCACCATAAGAGCTGTCGCCCGCAGAGGTCACTCACACCCACACTCTCACCATAGAGCTGACGCCCGCAGACGTCACTCACACCGACACTCTCACCATAAGAGCTGACACCTGCAGACGTCACTCACACCCACACTCTCACCGTAAGAGGTGACACCAGCAGACGTCACTCACACCCACACTCTCACCATAAGAGTGTGCCCCGCAGGCGTCACTCACACCCACACTCACCATATGAGCTGACACCTGCAGACGTCACTCACACCCACATTCTCACCATAAGAGCTGTCGCCCGCAGACGTCACTCACACCCACACTCTCACCATAAGAGGTGACACCTGCAGACGTCACTCACACCCACACTCTCACCATAAGAGCTGACACCCGCAGACGTTACTCACATCCACACTCTCACCAGAAGGGGTGTCACCTGCAGACGTCACTCACACCCACACTCTCACCATAAGAGCTGTCGCCCGCAGAGGTCACTCACACCCACACTCTCACCATAAGAGCCGACGCCCACAGACGTCACTCACACCCACACACGTCACTCACACTCACACTCTCACCATAAGAGCTGACGCCCGCAGACGTCACTCACACCCACACTCTCACCATAGAGCTGACACCCGCAGACGTCACTCACACCCACACTCTCACCATAAGAGCTGACACCTGCAGACGTCACTCACACCCACACTCTCACCATAAGAGCTGACATCTGCAGACGTCACTCACACCCACACTCTCACCATAAGAGCTGACACCTGCAGACGTCACTCACACCCACACTCTCACCATAAGAGCTGACACCTGCAGACGTCACTCAAACCCACACTCTCACCATAAGAGCTGACACCTGCAGACGTCACTCACACCCACACTCTCACCATAAGAGCTGACACCTGCAGACGTCGCTCACACCCACACTCTCACCATAAGAGCTGACATCTACAGACATCACTCACACAGTCAACTCAGTCAGTCCTTATGATAACCCTTAGTGGCATAAACTGTCATGGTCCCCATTCCATATTCAGAAACTAGAGCCCAGAGAGGTTGGGTGCCTTGCTGGAGCCCATAGAGGAATGGGCAGCGGCAGGAAAGTCTGACTGACACTTAGCACCCATGAGGGAGGTACGGAAACAGGATCAACCATTCCAGACCACCGGGAGCTCAGGAAACCTCATCATCGTGCTCACTTGAGCCAAGATCCAGGAAATATTAAGTCCTTAGGGGCTTCAAAAGCGAAGGAGAACGGCAGGGTGGACAAGTGCTGGGT
The DNA here is from genome assembly GCF_000001405.40 of Homo sapiens. Classification (NCBI taxonomy): domain Eukaryota; kingdom Metazoa; phylum Chordata; class Mammalia; order Primates; family Hominidae; genus Homo; species Homo sapiens. Next base: position 134,226 of record NT_187560.1, on the reverse strand, counting down.
TCTTTTCAGCCAGCACATGCCGATGACCAGCTCTGCGTTGCAGTGAGCTGAGATTGCGCCATTGCACTCCAGCCTGGGCAACAAGAGTGAAACTTCATCTCAAAAAGAAAGAATGTAACCATCAAAATTAAAACTTCTGTGCATCAAAGGACACTATTAGCAGCAGGAAAAGGCAGCCAGGGAGTGGGGAAATATTTGCCCTCATCTATCTGATAAGGGATTTGTATCCAAAATACATAAAGAACCACAACTCGACAACAACAACAAAAAACCTGATTAAAAACGGGTAAAGGACCTGAGTAGACTTTTCTCCAGAGAAGATGTACAAACAGCTGAAAGCACAGGGAAGGCGCCCAGCATCACCAGCGTCAAGGCAACGCAAATCAAAACCACAGTGAGACCTACTGCCCGCTCAGCAGGACATCTGCTATCAAAAAACGAAACGAAGCAAAACCGAAAATAACGCGTGTGGGTGAGAACATGGAGAAAATAGGGCCCTGTGCTCCGCGGGCAGGAACGTAACCTGATGCAGTCGCCGTGGAAAGCACACGGGAAAAGTTCAATGTGGAAGTAGCAGATGATCCGACAGCCCCATTTGATTTTACACCCAATACCTGCAAGCAGGGCTCGCGCAGAGGCTCAGGCAGCCATGCTGGTGGCACATGGGCTGTCGCGACTGCTCCCGGTGGAATCAGCCCCATTTCTGATTTTACACCCAACACCTGCAAGCAGAGCTCGCGCAGAGGCTCAGGCAGCCATGCTCGTGGCACGTGGGCTGTCGCGGCTGCTCCCGGTGGAATCAGCCCCCTTTCTGATTTTACACCCAACACCTGCAAGCAGGGCTCGCGCAGAGGCTCAGGCAGCCATGCTCGTGGCACGTGGGCTGTCGCGGCTGCTCCCAGTGGAATCACAGCTACAATCGAGCTCAGGTAAAGGCTTCCATGGAGGGTCTAGACTGCATTTCCAGGCACCAGGATGAGTTTAAATTCAGCTCCCAAAGAAGACCAGTGAACACACCAATGAACATACACTTCACACTGCCACACCCCAAGATAAGACCCAGAAACTCACATTCAGGGAAAGACAGCCCCTCTTACATGCCACCCAGACCCCCATACGAGAGTGTCAGACCCCAGCACCTTCCAAAAACACAAAATGTCCCCCTGCCGAGGAGCCAGCACCTGGGCCCTTAGAAGCCGTGACAACGAGCAGCAAAGCGCAGGGCCTCACCCAAGAGATACCCAGGACAGCACAGACGGGGGAAGCTCCAGCAACCCCACACAGGCCCCAAGAAGCCACCAGCCAGACCAGGCTCGGGAAGAGCTGTCTTCAGCAGGAACAAGGCAGTTTAGTAACTAGAAGCAATATGGGATGGGGCTGAGCCATCATCAGGAGCTCCGTCCAGTGGGGAGCATTGGCCCCAGTCGCAGGCAAGGGAGGCTGTTTCAAGTTTAGGCCTCCAGAAGAGGCAGCTCCTCGACCAAACTGAAGACACATAATTTCCTGTTAAATTAACACTTGCAACGCCTTGCACCCAGGTCTTGAATGCTAATTATACTCGCCGGCATTTAATACAAGACACCCTGGAGTCTGGGCTGAAATGCCACACAGGAATCTGGAATCGCATAAAACGTGGAAAACCAGACTTTTCTAGCCCAAGAATGAGTGAGATGTAAAAATCAAAGAGGTCCCACACGTAACCCACCAAGAAAGAACAAGTGAGGCTGTGTTGCTGGAGGTGGTCGCTCTCCCCAAGCTCAGTCCTGACAGAAATGACGCTCTGACGGTGCACGATTTGCAATGTGCAGGAACAGACCCCAGCACCTTTCATCGGTGGGTTTAGGAGAGGGGCCCAGGGGACCCTGGCACTCCTCTGATGAGAAATCAGGCACCAGCTTGTGCATCTGTTTCCCTGGAAATCACTGCTTCCCTGTTGGTTTGCACATGTCCTGTCAGCCCTGTGAGGTGAGAACCCAGAAGCTGATGGACGATACCCAAAACAGAGCTTTAGGCAGAAGACAGCTTGGACCCAAGGCCTCAGTTAGGCCATGGAGGGAAAGTATGGTGCGGACACCTGGGACCGCAGTGGGCGGGAGAAATTCTGGAGGATAAAATGTTGGGCCCCAGTGCTCCATCTCTGAGGGTGGACCCTGCTGCCTGGGAGCAGTCCTGGCAGGACCCCCACAGTCCACGTGACTGATGGTCTAGGCCTATGTCTGCTCAACTATGATGGCATAAACACCCCTCCCAGCAGAGCCTTGAAACTAAAGAAGTCATCTGAGTGACTAGACGTTAACAAGGAGAGAAAACCTAACTGCCTGTCTCCTGGCCAACGGGAAGACAGGTTTTTTGTCTTACTTTGGGTTTTGTCTTAATTTGGGTTTTTTGTGGGCTACTCTGGTAACCAGAGCTTTGTCTGGAGACAGCGTGTTCTTATAGGAGGCCACAGAGGGTTTTATGAAGAGTAAGCTTCGGAGGCTCAGGAGGACTTGTATTTTTGAGCAGGGTGGAGCAAGAGAAAGAACAAAGACAAAGGCCACCGGTTTTGGAAGCCCCAGGTAGAAGGAGACAGGGTCTTCCACCCCCGTGGAAAAACCTCCTGAAGCTACAAGCTGGGGCCAAAGCTGGTGTGGCAGCAGTGGTCACCCAGAGCTTTCCAATGCCGTCCACTCATCCCAGGTGGGGAAACTGAGGCTGAGGAAGCAAAATGACTTGGTCACACACATTTTATAATTTACAATTGTATATATATATGGGTGTCCATTTTCACACAGCTATAAAGAACTACCCAAGACTAAGTAATTTTTGAAGAAAAGAGATTTAATTGACTCACAGTTCCACAGGGCTGGGGAGGCCTCAAGAAACTAGTCATGGCAAAAGGCGAAGGAGAAGCAAGCACCTTCTTCCTGAGGCGGCAGAAGGAGTGGGGGTGGGGGGAGTGCTACACTTTTAAACCATCAGCTCTCATGAGAACTCCCTCACTATCACGAGAACAGCGTGGTGGAAACCACCCGCATGATCCAGTCACCTCCCACCAGGTCCCTCCCCAACGCTGGGGATTACAACTCAAGGTGAGATGTGGGTGGGGACACAGAGCCAAACCATATCAATGGGTACAAGGCAATGCTATGATTTATGAATACAATGTGGAATAATTAAATCAAGCTAGTTAACATATCCATCACTTCAAATACTTAACATTTTTGTGGCAAAAACATTTGGAATTTGTTCTCTCAGCAGTTTTGAGATGTATAACCGTCTACTGTTATCTTCATCACACTGTACAATCGAACTCAAAAAATTGCCCCTGAGATTTGTGCCCTCCACCTGTTATCTCCCCATTCCCTCCACCCCTGGCCTCTGGCGACCTCAGTTCTACTCTCTGCTACTGTGAGTTCAATTGTTTTCAGTTCCACATATGAGTAAGATCATGCGGTATTTGTCTTTCTGTGCCTGGCTTATTTCACTCAGCGTAATGCTTTCCAATTCCATCCATGATGCTGGAAATCACAGAATTCCTTCCTTTTTAAGACTGAATAGTATCCCACTGTGTCTTTATCCATCCATCTGTCGATGGACATTTAGGTTGATTCTATGTCATGGCCATTGTGGACAGTGCTGCAGTAAACATGAGGGTGCAGATCTCTCTTCAACATGCTGATTTTACTTCCTTTGGATAAATACCTCATAGTGGGATTGCTAGATGATATGGTAGTTTGTTGTTTGAGAGGCCTCCATACAGTTCTCCATAATGACTGTACCGATTTAGATTCCCAATAGTGCACAAGATTTCCCTTTTCACCACTTCCTCACCAACACTTGCTGTCTTTTTAATAATAGCCATTCTAACAGGTGTGATATGATATCCCATTGTGGTTTTGATTTGCATTTCCCTAATGATTAGCACAGTTGAGCATCTTTTCACATACATGTTGGCCATTTTTATGTCTTCTTTTGAGAAATATCTACTCAGATTCTTTACCTGTCTTTTAATTGGGTTTTTCATTTTCATGCTATTGAGTTGTTTGAGCTTATTATATATTTTGGATATTAAGCCCTTATTGGATGTACAGCTTGCAAATATTTTCTCCCCATCCTTAGGTTGTCTGTGCACTCTGCTAACTGTTTTGTTTGCTGTGTAGAGCTTTGTATTTGATATAATCCCATTTGTTTATTTTTGATTTTGTTGCCTGTGCTTTGGGGATCAAATAAAAAAAATTGTTGCCCAGGATAATGTTATGTCATTTTGCCCTGTGATTTCTTCTAGTAGTTTTACAGTTTCAGGTCTTAAATTTAAGTCTTTAATCCCTTTTGAGTTTTTGTATGTGGTGAGAGATAAGTTCTAATTTCATTCTTCTGCATGTGGATATCCAGTTTTTCTGGCACCATTTATTGAAGACACTGTCCTTTTCCCATTATGTGTTCTTGCCACTTTTGCTGAAAATGAATTGAGCATAAATGCATGGATTCATTTCCTGGCTCTCTATTCTGTTCCATTAGTTGATGTGTCTATTTTGTTTTGTTGTTGCCAGTACCACGTTGTTTTGGTTATTATAGTTTCATAGTATATTTTGAAATCAGGTGGTGTGATGCATCCAGCTTTGTTCCTTTGGCTCCTGATTGCCTTGGCTATTCAGGGTTTTATGTGGTTCCATATGAATTTTAGGATTGCTTTTCTATTTCTGTAAAAAAAATGCCATTGGAATTTTGATAGGGGTTGCACTGAAACTATAGATTGCTCTAGGTAGTACGGACATTTTAACAATATTAATTCTTTCAATCAATGAACATGGGATACCTTCTATTTATTTGCCTTGTCTTCCATTTCTTTCACCATCTCATAGTTTTCAGTGTACAGGTCTCACCGTCTGGGTTAAATTAATTCCTATCTATTGCAGTCACACATTTTTTTAGTGGCAGCACTCACCTTCTTGAGTGAACCATGGAGGTTGTGGCATTTGCTTGTCAAGGGCCTTGCATTCCTGGGGGTGCCCCCTCTGCTGTTGTGGTATCCTAGGATGGCTGTCAATCCCTAAACTTGCTCCCTTGCGGCCCAGGAGCCACAAGAACATCTCATTCCCTGCCCAGTCACTGGTCAGGTGCAGGCCCTGACCCATTCCAAACCACGGCCCCCTCCTACATGCTTTTCTCTGGTGGAAGATTCTCTCTTTTCATGCAGATTGGTTGCTAAGCCCTGTGAACAGGAGTGAACAGGTGGACAAGCAGCCATCCCAACACCACACAAAGAGAGAGAAACTGGAGACAAAAGCAGCGGGGAGATGCTGCAGATCCCGGCCACTGTGCCAGAGCCACCCTGGGTTCGCCATTCACAGCCCCAGAGCCACCCTGGGTTCCCCATTCACAGCCCCAGAGCCACCCTGGGGTCCCCATTCACAGCCCCAGAGCCACCCTGGGGTCCCCATTCACAGCCCCAGAGCCACCCTGGGGTCCCCATTCACAGCCCCAGAGCCACCCTGGGGTCCCCATTCACAGCCCCAGAGCCACCCTGGGGTCCCCATTCACAGCCCCAGAGCCACCCTGGGGTCCCCATTCACAGCCCCAGAGCCACCCTGGGGTCCCCATTCACAGTCCAGTATGCCCCACGTGAGTCTGTGTTGGCTTCTGTCACTTGCAGTCCTGAGTGCTGAGCTGGGCCAGGCCCCCAACACCTGAGGTCCTTCCCTCCCTCACAGAGTTTTCATGCTCAGTTGTGAGGTATGGTGATGGCCACAGGCCCGAATCCTAACCACCACAGCACAGGACTTCTCAAAGAGACCGTCACTGTGTCTCCTGCCCCAACAAGGTGAACAGTTCTGGGATGCTAATCCCCACTCACTCATTCCATCCCCATCCTGGAGCCTCCTGGACAGATTCCATCATTACCCTCCCTCAGGAGGAGGCAGTGCTGAGGGTGGCCCACGTCACTGCACCCCTGGGTGGTCCCTGAGGGCACTGCTGAGGGTGGCCCACGTCACTGCACCCCTGGGTGGTCCCTGAGGGCAGTGCTGAGGGTGGCCCACGTCACTGCACCCCTGGGTGGTCCCTGAGGGCAGTGCTGAGGGTGGCCCACGTCACTGCACCCCTGGGTGGTCCCTGAGGGCAGTGCTGAGGGTGGCCCACGTCACTGCACCCCTGGGTGGTCCCTGAGGGCAGTGCTGAGGGTGGCCCACGTCACTGCACCCCTGGGTGGTCCCTGAGGGCAGTGCTGAGGGTGGCCCACGTCACTGCACCCCTGGGTGGCCCCTGAGGGCAGTGCTGAGGATGGCCCACGTCACTGTGCTCCCTGGGTGGTCCCTGAGGGCAGTGCTGAGGGTGGCCCACGTCACTGCACCCCTGGGTGGTCCCTGAGGGCAGTGCTGAGGGTGGCCCACATCACTGCACCCCTGGGTGGTCCCTGAGGGCACTGCTGAGGGTGGCCCACGTCACTGCACCCCTGGGTGGTCCCTGAGGGCAGTGCTGAGGGTGGCCCACGTCACTGCACCCCTGGGTGGTCCCTGAGGGCAGTGCTGAGGGTGGCCCACGTCACTGCACCCCTGGGTGGTCCCTGAGGGCAGTGCTGAGGGTGGCCCACGTCACTGCACCCCTGGGTGGTCCCTGAGGGCAGTGCTGAGGGTGGCCCACGTCACTGCACCCCTGGGTGGTCCCTGAGGGCAGTGCTGAGGGTGGCCCACGTCACTGCACCCCTGGGTGGTCCCTGAGGGCAGTGCTGAGGGTGGCCCACGTCACTGCACCCCTGGGTGGCCCCTGAGGGCAGTGCTGAGGATGGCCCACGTCACTGTGCTCCCTGGGTGGTCCCTGAGGGCAGTGCTGAGGGTGGCCCACGTCACTGCACCCCTGGGTGGTCCCTGAGGGCAGTGCTGAGGGTGGCCCACATCACTGCACCCCTGGGTGGCCCCTGAGGGCAGTGCTGAGGATGGCCCACGTCACTGTGCTCCCTGGGTGGTCCCTGAGGGCCCCCCGGGCCACATGAGGCCCACCCCCTTCCTGATGTCCAAGAACAAGGGCGTTACTAGCGCTCACGTGTTCCCCTTTGCAGACTAGGTCACAGGATACAGCACGGATTCCTTCCGGCAAAAGGTGCTCAGTAAAGTGGATTGCAGCATCCTGTGTCTCCCCTAAAACATCCTCAAACAGAATGGCTGCACCAAGATGTATGGGATCTGTACCAAGACATGGGTAAAAAGAAGGCCCTGGCATGTTCACCTGATTGTTACTCAAAAGCCCCACAGATGGAGGCTCCATTGAGCATTGACCCTGAGGCCCTAAGAGTTGCTGCCCGAGGAGAGATGCTCAACATCAGCCGGCACTTCCATCTCCGCTCCCTCTGGCAGGAACAAACTCCACTGAAACAGGCGGCTCTTTCCCAAGCAGGGGCAGGACTGGCTGGTTGCCGTGTTCCCAGGAAACATGTACAGGGTACCTGCTTCACCCAGGAAGTGCAGGGAGGTTGGAATGAAACCTCAGAAGGATGGAGAGGCTGCTCAGAAGATGCTGACTGCGGGCCTGCTTCTGGTGTCTGACTGCCGTCTGCACCCAGAATCTGCCTGTCAATTTTGTCTTCAATGATTTTGAAACTCCTGGGGGTGAGGGAGCTGGAGACAAATAGTGACTTAGAGTCCCATAACACATTTGTCCCCATCACCCCATTGGATCTCAGGGCTGCCTGTGAGCCAGGCTGTGCAGGAAGGAAGGTGCCAGAGCTGCTGCCTAAGGTGCCCTAGGGACAGGAGAGCCCCTGCCTCCTGCCGGCCACTGGATCCACGCCCAGTGGATCAGTCGCTCATCACCGGCCAGGCCAGTGCCTCGCCTCACCTCACCCAGCCTCACAGTTCAGATGAGGAAACAGACCCAGAAGGAGCAAGTAGCTGGATTCTAGGCTATCAACAAAATGCCAAAGGCAGAAAAAACCCTGATTTTCCAAAAGGGAAAAAAATGTTGGAATACAAATCAATTTGTCTGCTGTTTACCAAAGCTCATTCTCTCCCCCAGCGTTTCCAAATCCCACCCGGCACACCTGTGGCCCATTCAGGTGCCAGTTCCGTCAACTGCCTGGAAATCCCTGCAGAGAACAACGGCACACCTGAGCCTCTTCCAGAGCCCACAGTTATCCCATTACGAAATGAAAAGCTGCTTTGGGGAATGCTGTGTTGATGTGTCAGCATCAAACTGTTATGCGGGAGGCAGAAGGACCTCACCGACGGCATCTCTCGCCACCTCGAGGGCACGGGTGAGGTGCAGGAGGAACTCGTGCTACCACCTCCACCCACCCCCAGGGGTTCTGCCCCTTCAGAAGGAGGGTCCAGGAGGGGGACTCACCCGCTGGCACCATTGGCCACTGCACACTATTCCCCAGCTCCCTCCTACTGCACCCCATGAGCCACCCTCAGTTGGGCCCCATCCCTGAGTCCCTTTTGGGTTCCTAATTGTTGGGCACAGTCTAAGCCCAGGGCTCCCTGCAGGCCTGCAGCTGTCTGGGGCGACTCGTACACTGTACCTGCTTTCCTTCGTTGCTCACACAGCAGCCGACACAGTCACTCAAAACTCCCATTTGTGAAAGTAAGTGGCCTTTTAAAGAATGCTAAAACATTACGGGCACTTTAGCCCCGCGTTTCTTACTACACGAAACATGGTTACCTACGAGTGAAATGGCAGAAGGAATGACCTTATTAACGCCTCATCCTTCTCAAGGGCAAGAGAGTGCAACTCAACAACTCCATGTGAACACCTGCCCTGGCATGCAGGCAGCCGGGCCAGTCCACAGCCAGTCACGGCCCCACGGGAGGAGCCTTCTGAGTGACAGATATCATTTTCATTCAGGGGGGCTTGAACTCTGGCCATCAGAAGAGCTGGTTACTACAAAGGTAGCAGAACAGGAAGTACTGAGAAGAAAGTGCACCTTTCTGACCACCCACTCCCAGCCCAGCTCCCCTCCTGTCTGCTCGCCTCCTGTCCGCTCCCCTCCTGTCCGCTCCCCTCCTGTCCGCTCCCCTCCTGACCGCTCCCCTCCTGTCCGCTCCCCTCCTGACCGCTCCCCTCCTGTCCGCTCCCCTCCTGTCCGCTCCCCTCCTGACCGCTCCCCTCCTGTCCGCTCCCCTCCTGACCGCTCCCCTCCTGTCCGCTCCCCTCCTGTCCGCTCCCCTCCTGTCCGCTCCCCTCCTGACCGCTCCCCTCCTGTCCGCTCCCCTCCTGTCCGCTCCCCTCCTGACTGCTCCCCTCCTGACCGCTCCCCTCCTGTCCGCTCCCCTCCTGACTGCTCCCCTCCTGACTGCTCCCCTCCTGTCCGCTCCCCTCCTGTCCGCTCCCCTCCTGACTGCTCCCCTCCTGTCCACTCCCCTCCTGTCTGCTCCCCTCTTGACTGCTCCCCTCCCTGCCAGCTACCCTCCTGACCGCTCCCCTCCTGTCCGCTCCCCTCCTGACCACTCCCCTCCCTGGCCAGCTACTCTGGAGCAAACTTACACAAGCACACAGCAGGACCCAAGGATCAGCTTCGATAGGCATTTTCCAGAAGTGCATTAGAATGGCTGCTTCACCCTCCTGTGATGATGCCTGGACCCTGAGGTGGGTCAGGCCCCTCCCGTGCTGCAGCCGATTCGTGGCTGGATTAAACTTCTTATTGCCCCCTGAAGGTGAGGTCAGGCAGCAGAAGCATCGTGCAGCTAGGAATAGAAGGCTCTGGGCCCCACACATTTCAGAGAGGCGTAATTGGGGTAGGCTGGTATTGGTAATCCTGAGTACAATATTGATTGACAAAAACGAATCACACCTGAGCCTCAAAGCTCTTAGCCCTTCCCTGCAAAGAAAACTCTCTCTTAGAATTACCAAATATAGCTTTCAATCCCTTCAATCTAAATGTTTCAGGTGAGAGCAGAGATAGATTTTTCGAATGGAGACATTAACCTTTCTGAGCTGCAGCTGCCTGGCTCTCTCTGCCTGTTACTCTGTTTCTGGAACATGGCAGCTGCTTTCGCCGCACCAGGGCCTGCACCAGGCCACCCAGTTACATTCAGGCCACCCTGGGCCAATAGGCCAGACACTCGCTCCTATTCCGGGTCTCCTAACAGCAGGCCAACAGATCACACCCTGTTAGTATTTAGAATAATCAAGATTTTTATCAGAAGTTGAAGAGAACAGCAGCATGTATTTCACTCAGGACCCTTCATTTTACAAATAAGAAAACTGAGGTCCTCCACAGCCGTGCTGCCCACTGGGAGCACCCCCTGCCTCACACCACATCATCCAATACCACGATGCAGATGTGGTCCTCACTCTTGGCCCTGATGGGGCACTCTAGCATCCCACTGTTTTCCTTAATAGAAAACAACACAATAGAAGTTAAGGTCAGAGTCAAAAGATGACACATCACTCGGGGCTTTATAAAATCCAGGACTCATGTAAACAAGTCCTAAAACTATGAGTGGACATTCACTTGCTAAGCACAATGTTGAAGTTATGGCTGAAAGCTTACTTTACATTTGCCTAAGACCACACTTGTCATACACACCTAAAACCATCTGCTGTCTTCTGAGTTCTATTAAAGGACAATGAGAAAACAGCAATTGAAATGGGGTTTCTGGTTCCAAACGGCAGGACAGGAGCAAGCTGTCTCACCACCCCAGCAGAAACCTGAAAGCAAACATGCAGTGCTGAGATGCTGAGATGGTCACCAGCAACATCTGAGAACCCAGAGGTGAGGATGAGTCAGGTCCTGGGGCCACCAGGAACAGAAAAACCCCGAACAGACAGACAGCAGGAGAACCAGACCCCCACATCTGCAAGGCCCCTCCCCATAACCTGCCTGGCATCCAGTACACAAAAGATTTTCCCTTGACACAGTTTCTACACTTAGAAAGGTGAGATAACAACAGCTTGCCCTGCTCTTGGGTGCCCTGGCAGGAGACCTCTCCCTGCCTCAACCCATGGGGAGCATCCTGAGTGCCTGAAGGGAGAAACAGCCCTGAGGATGGCCAGAGACAAAGGTGGGGGTGGGGCTACTGTCCCCAGCCCTGGAAACTCTGCTCTGCAACTCGGCCAAAGGAGGCACTCAATCAGAGTGGCCACTCGCAGCCCCACGCTGCAGGACCTGTGCTCCCAGGTCCCCTCCCAGCCTTCCCACGTTATCAGGACATCCCCTTTGGGACATCTGCTTTGGGACAGGCAGCACTTTCATCAGTGACCAGAGCTGAGTTGAACCTGGGCTTAAGGCGCCATCTAGTGCCAAAAAGGAGGCTGCAACCTAGCAAGAAAACACTCCACAGGTAAATCACAAAGAATCTTTAAGCAAACATACCCCAGAAAAACCAAAACACCCAGACAGAGAAGAGATAAATAAATAACCGTTCAGTGCCAAGACACAGACACACATCAACAAACCAGAAAGCAGCAGACGGGACCATGGCCTCCCCAAACGGACAAAGCCAAGAACCAGTGACTGGCCCAACAAAGTGGCGATTTGTGAGCTCTCATCAAGAAATCAAAATGGCAGCCCTAAGGAAACTCGGTGATCCCCAAGATAACACCAGGAAATCAATTCAGAAAGTTAACAACAGATTGAAATAATTTTTAAAAATCAGACAGAAGTCTTGAAACAAAAATACATTTAGCGAAATGAGGAAATTCATGACAAGCTCCCAACAGCAGAGTGGCTTAAGCAGAGGAAAGAATCAGTGAGCTCAAATACACAATCAGAGGAGGAAAAAGAACAAAGAATGAAAGACAACCTACAAGATAGAGAAAATTACCTCAAAACACCAAATCCAAGAATTACTGGTGTTCAAGAGGGAGCTGAGTGAGAACAAGAGGTACCAAGCTTACTCAAAGAAACAGTAACAGAAAACTTTCTGAAACTTGAGAAAGGTATAGATAACCAGATTCGGGAAAGTCAGAGAACACCAGATTCAACCCAAATATGACCACCTCAGGCTTTTAATAATTAAACTGTCAAAGCTCAAGGGCAAAGAGAAGACCCCAAAGGAAGCAAATAACATCTAAAGGAGCTCCAATTTGTTTGTCAACAGACATCTCAATGGAAAACATACAGACCAGGAGAAAATGGGATGATACTTTCGGAGTCTTGAAAGGAAAAAAAAAAAAAATCTGTCACCCAAGAATACTGTATCCAGCAAAGCTACCCTTCAAATACAAAGAAGAGATAAATTCTTTCCCAGACGAACAAAAGCTGAGAGAATTCATCACCACCAAACCCACCTTACAATAAATGCTGAAGAGATCTCTTCATTCAGAAAGAACAAAAATACATCGAATGGGGCACTAAGAGGGCAGATTCTCATTCCACCTTGCCACCAGCCTGCTGTGCAAACTTGGGCAAATCACTTCACTTCTCTGTGCTTCCATTTCCTAAATTGAGACCAATGAATTCGGTATTTTCTAGGATCCTTTCCAATCAAATGTTCTGTGTTTGCATGATGATAGCTAGGGTGCTGCAGCATAAGTGTCTGTAATTTAGCTTTTGTGAGCTGTGAACATTGCCTGCCTCTCTCTCACTCTCCTGCCAGCTGCTCACACTGTGTCATCTGTCCGTTTGTGTCAACAGAGAACTGAGGAAATGCAACTGCAGTGCAGCCCTGCAATGGGCTGGCCACCAGCAACAACGGCAGGAGAGGCAGGAGCAGTCAGGCAGGCTGGGCCCCAGAAGCACGCAGTGGAGAAGCCCGCAGCAGTGCAGAGGGATGTCCTTATGAGCCAGGACAGAGTCCCCTCATTTGCTGGACTCTGCAGAACTACACTGGCTGCATCCAAAACCCAGTACTCACCACCAGATGGCAACAGGGAGAATCTGCGTGCACAGGAGCCAGCCTGAAGGAAGCATCCAGGGAACGCAGGGGAAGAGCGTGAGCGTGAACCCCAAGATGATGGGGTGAGACCTCGCTCACAGGCAGATGCGAATCCTCCACGTGGGGATGCGGGAAGGCTGTTCTTGCCAAAGGCTGATGATGACCCTGCTGCCTCTCTGCTTATCTGCCCTCGAAACAGAATGTGGTTCCAGGCGCCACCACCCAGCCTAGCAGCCGTCATGGGCCCACAGTGATTGAGCCCTCAATCAAAGCTTTTTTATTATTATGGAAAATTACAAGTTTTTTCACAATGAGTTTTCACACACATATAAATCAATGGAAAATGTCTTCTTGGCTGTCTTTATGGTATTTAAGTAAATGATTAAAGTTTTCACAGTTGGGATAAAGGACATCCAATGTAAAAGACTGCCATTTCTGAAAATAAAGACAATACAAGCTGGTCATCACTGTTGACAAAAATTTCCTCGGGAATCTAAAATAACCAACAAGTCACTCATTTCCCTTTGTCTAACCTACTACATGCATTTTTTATTTATAAAGCCCCACTCAACTTATCTTTTTCCCCTTTCATCCTGAATTCTGGGAGCTCAAAGGCAACCTTAAGGCTTAGTTGCAGGAACTCTGTTGACCTTGTGGGAACATTTGCTTCTTTTTCCTTCCCTATCACATTCCCACTTCAAATTCATCAACTCATAGAGTATCTTTTTGTTGCTTCCTTGGGTTTTTTTGGACAAGGAAAGTTGAACATAATCAAAAACAACAGTGGTGAAGTCCTCACCCAACACTGCCAGCAATCTGTGGAGCACAGGGCTTCCCACCCGGCAGATAAGAACCCCATGCACACCTCTTAAATAAACAGGCTGATGCTGAGCAGGCACCACCATCCAGGCACCATGCTGAGCGCTGTGCGTAAAGAAAATACAAAGATCAGCCAGACAGAGCCTGTGCTGCAAGGAGCCCACATTTTATTTGAGGGGCCAGATAGGTCACAATTCATAACATAACAAAGCAAAAGGTGAAAAGAGCTAAAAAAAAAAAAGTAGAAATAATTTCTGATAAATTTTCTCTTAGCTTTTCTATGGGGAAATCAGGAGAAATGGACTGACTGGGAGAAAGCTTCTGGGGACCAAGTAAAACCCATCACGATCATCATCGAAACTGTGGCTGGGAAGATCCTGGGCCCCAGCACAGGGTCAGGTGGGCTCTGTGCTGGCCGGGAGAGCGGCCTCCGTCTGGCTACCAGGCCTCTCTGGACTGCAGAGTTAGTTTTTCTGCAAGTAACAGAGTGGAACCCAATGGCAGGAACATCTCCAATTCCGAAATTCCATGGTCCTGTGCAAACAACCAGAAAATAGAAACCAAGATTTGAGGACGGAAGAGGAACCGGACGAATGATGTGAACACGGGGCTTGTTTGCAGGTAGAGTTTACTGGGGGAAAGCATCCACATTACATAAAAGAGAAAGGAGACAAAACGACGCCCGGCAGTGGGTGCCCGGCTTGCAGGCCTCTGCGGCAGGTCTGTGGGTTCCCTGGCCCAGCGGCACCACCCAAAGGCGAGGGCCAGGCTGTCGTTGACGCCCTGTGGCAGCACCTCAGTGATTTCAGGGGTGGTTTTGACTCTTTCTGTGGAGGTGACAGGAGGTGCCTCCATCACAGACACAAATGGTGGCTTCCTGGCTTGCTCGGTAGACGCCAGGCTATGCTCACCCCAAGGCCAGACCCCGGACAAGGCCAGGGGCTGGCCCAACACTGGCCTTCAGGGTGCTGGGCAACCTGCATTTGCTGCGCAGCCCAGGCCCACCCAAATCACTGAGGGCGTCACACAGGCACCGTCAGCTGCGGGTGCTAAGAAAAGCGGCAGGAGAGGAGGAAGGCAGCTTATCTGTGCAGCCGTCAGCCATCAGCAAGCCTGTAGCAGCCACTGCCAAGCAACCGGGACCCAGCTCTTATGTCCCGTAAGGTTCCAGGGACCATTCCGGGGAGAAAGAAGGGCCTGGTCCCAGGGCAGGAAGCTCACAAGGCAGGAGGCGCATTGCGTCCAGCAGGGGTGTCCCATTGGGACAGTGGCGGCTCTCAGAACCCAGCCGCCAGCCCTCAACTCTGGCTCACCGTCCCACCACCAACTAGAGGGCCCCGGCCAAGCCAAGGGCAAAGTAGGGGACACACTTACAATCAGGGGTGCATGGGGCTCCTCCCCTCCCCTTGTGTGTGCATGTCTCTGTTTCTCTCTTTCTGTCTCTGTCTCTCTCTTTTTCTCTCTCTGGCCCTCCCACAAGGCTTAAGGTGGCTCCTTAGAATGGAAGGCCCAACTTTGTGAGTTACTCGAATACATGAACTCAGCCCAGGACAGTGGGAACAGCAGCCCGGCTCACCCCTGCAGGCGGGGACTGGGTGCCCAGCAAGCCTCGGGAGGCTGCCCCAAACCAACCACAGGGAGACCTGAGACGCCCTACGCCCACCTTTCTTCCGGCCTGGTCTTAAACTGGTGGGAGGGGCGTGGGCTGAGGTAGCCATGGGGGGCCCTCTTTCCTGCCCTCAGCTTCACCTTTTTCAGGAGCATGGCCTGGAAGCTCAGCCATTCTCAGAAGGATGGGCTGGAGGAGGGCTGCAGGCGGCTCTGCCCTTCCTGGCCTCCAGAGACACACTGAAAGCCCAGTTATCACAATATTCGGCCGACGGAAATGGTTTCATGAAAATTTACCAGACTTGAAAGCAATGACTCAAAGAAATACGTGTATGTACCCCCACGCACACAGCATGTTATTCACAGAAGCCAGACACAGAAACAACCCAGGCGCCCAGCAGCTGAGGGGTGGAGAAACAGAACGTGGTCTATTTACACGACAGAATGGGACTCAGCCTCAGAAAGGAAGGAGACGCTGACACAGTCCACACCTGCACCAGCCCTGAGCACGCGGTGCTGCCTTTAGCGTTCGGCTGCAGCCGGGCACATGCTCCGATTGCACTGATACGTGGCCCCCAGATGGTCAGGTTCACAGAAGGTACACTGAGTGCAGCCAGGGCCTTGGGGAGGGGGAGTCAGCATTAATGCGCACAGAGGTTCTGTTTGGAATAGAAAGTTGGCAGGTGGATGGTGGTGATGGCTACACAGCAGTGTGAATATCCTTTATACCACTGAACTATATCCCTAAATGGTTAAAATGGTCATTCTTATGTATAAGTTACTGAAAGTCTTTAAGAAGTGATAAAAGGTTTACTGAATAAATGAGAAACTGGATGGGAGGGACGCCATCCCCACTCTAAGGAGTCTGGACTATGAGGTTGATGATGAGCATGACCTCAAGGCCCCAGCATAGCTAATCCAACCACAGGAAGGCAGGCAGCATCTGGGAGGCCCCATCAGCAAGGCCATGGCCGGCGAGTCCCTGCTCAGACCCCAGAAATCCAAAGTGATTCACGCACAGGTGGGAAGACGCTATCAATACTCACAACTTTAACCAGACACAAGTCTACAGAGGCGACCATCACTAACGTTGAAAATGTCTTGGCTTCTGATTTGAACAGGATCAGACCTCAAGCACGAAATGAATGCTTTAAATAATGGATGTTTTTTCAAGAAACTTAATTTGGTATCACATTGGCCAAGAGGTCATTTGGCGAGGCCAACACACAGTCACAAAGGAAAGGTGGTCCTCAGTGCCACCCAGGCACTCCGCTCGGCCAGCCGGGGGGACCCAGCTGGAGCCATAAAAGGACTGCTCCCAGGTCAACACGAAGGCCTGCCCAAGGACTCCTGCGGCCTTCAAAGATTTGCAGCCTGAGGACAACTTTCAGCAACACCGCGACACTCTAGGTTGTTTTTTCAAAGATTAAACATAATAATAATTCTGTAAAACCAACATGGGTCATCATTAATTACTGCACCGTGACCATGGCTATTTAAAAACCCAGCCTCAGCACAGTAGCTGACAAACATTAATGAGCAGTAATGTACACGTGGTGTTGTCGATGAACGGATAATGAAAGCAATTTATTTGAAAATTAAAACATGATTAAGAATGGCAGCCCAAGCGAGAGCCCAGATGCCTGAAGAAGGCATTCCTGATGGAATGGCCTTCTTCCTCTGACAGTTTTTAATATACAGCACCTTAGCTTGGCCCCTCCTTGGTGCCCAAGACCTAACACTGGAGATGTCAGCTGTGGAGAGTGAGAAGACAAGCCCCTCAGTGGGACATCTCACAGCGCTCCTTAAGAGCAGCGTGTGAAGGGGACACGGACGCTGCATCCTTCCTCACCCAGACAACCCACAGATCCCAAGTCCACCCACACCCAGGACGACGCACAGACCCCACATCCACCCTCACCCAGGATGACGCACAGACCCCACATCCACCCTCACCCAGGACGACGCACAGACCCCACATCCACCCTCACCCAGGACGACGCACAGACCCCACATCCACCCTCACCCAGGACGACGCACAGACCCCACATCCACCCTCACCCAGGACGACGCACAGACCCCACATCCACCCTCACCCAGGACGACGCACAGACCCCACATCCACCCTCACCCAGGATGACGCACAGACCCCACATCCACCCTCACCCAGGATGACGCACAGACCCCACATCCACCCTCACCCAGGACGACGCACAGACCCCACATCCACCCACACCCAGGATGACGCACAGACCCCACATCCACCCTCACCCAGGATGACGCACAGACCCCACATCCACCCTCACCCAGGACGATGCACAGACCCCACATCCACCCTCACCCAGGATGACGCACAGACCCCACATCCACCCACACCCAGGATGACGCACAGACCCCACATCCACCCTCACCCAGGACGACGCACAGACCCCACATCCACCCACACCCAGGATGACGCACAGACCCCACATCCACCCTCACCCAGGATGACGCACAGACCCCACATCCACCCACACCCAGGATGACCCACAGACCCCACATCCACCCTCACCCAGGACGACGCACAGACCCCACATCCACCCTCACCCAGGATGACGCACAGACCCCACATCCACCCTCACCCAGGACGACGCACAGACCCCACATCCACCCTCACCCAGGATGACGCACAGACCCCACATCCACCCTCACCCAGGACGACGCACAGACCCCGCGTCCACCCTCACCCGGGGTGACCCACAGACCCTGCATCCACCCTCACCCAGGACGACGCACAGACCCCACATCCACCCTCACCCAGGACGACGCACAGACCCCACATCCACCCTCACCCAGGACGATGCACAGACCCCACATCCACCCTCACCCAGGACGACGCACAGACCCCACATCCACCCACACCCAGGACGACGCACAGACCCCACATCCACCCTCACCCAGGATGACGCACAGACCCCGCGTCCACCCTCACCCGGGGTGACCCACAGACCCTGCATCCACCCTCACCCAGGATGATGCGCAGACCCCACACCCTGGCAACCCACAGACCCCGCGTCCACCCTCACCTGGGGTGACCCACAGACCCTGCATCCACCCTCACCAAGGATGATGCGCAGACCCCACACCCTGGCAACCCACAGACCCCGTGTCCACCCTCACCTGGGACGACTCACAAACCCTACGTCCACCCTCCCCCAGGATGACCCACAGACGCCATGTCCACCCCTCCCCAGGACAACCCACAGACTCTTCATCCATCCTTGCCCAGACCCCATCACAGCTGGCTGGAGAAGGACGCTGTGAAAACCTCTTTTGCTCTTTCTTGCTGCTCAGGCCATCCACACCTGGCAGAAATCCCCACTGCCCAGTTCCACTGAAGCCCTGGGCTCCAATATTCAGACCTGAGACCCAAACAGCCCTCCAGAGAGAGCTGAGCCACAGACGATCTGGAGCCCCGGAGCCAGCCCTGCCCTCAGGACAGGCTGTTAGCAGATGCCCACCATGGACCTTGGGGGCACTCCCGGACCCTCCTGGGGGATCCTAGGCAGGCATGGATCTGTGTTCCCCCAACACAGATACCAACAAGGGCCCCAGGAAGGTCAGTGCCTGGAGCCAGGTGTGGGCTCACCTTCACCACAGATGGTCTGGCTGGGGCAGGCCCTCCTGAGAACCTGAGCTGGCACTGCCCAGTCCTCACTGTGTCTCTGCCTGAGCCCTGCCTCTCCCTCATCCCCCTCTTCCCAGCTCTTCCCGCTGAGCCTGGACCCTGCCTATGGAGCTCATCCCCGCTTCTCTCCTCCCTTCGTTTCTTGGCCCTGAATCCCAGCCCCTTCCCCATCGTGGGTTCCATCTTTCCTCCGTCTGTCTGTCACTCATCCCGTCCCTGCACCTGTGCTACCATCAACCTCCCAGCCTGGGCCTCTTTTCCATTAACAAACAGCCCAGCCCAGACTAGAAATGCAGAGAAGCCACAGCTGCACCAGCAGGCACCACCTTTCCTGGACCTCCATCGCCCCAGCTCTCCTAACTCAGCTCTGGGCTGTCCAGAGGAGGAGGCAGAAGAGGCCGCCCCTGCCCGCCCGGCCTCAGCCTGGTGTCTCCCAAGGCCAGCACTGTCCTGTGTGGCAAGAGGATGAAGGGACAGAGCCCCTGTGCCCGGCACTTTCCTCAGGCCACCCTGGCCCCAAAGCACAGGAAGAAAAAAATGTCCACAACTCATTTACTCACAGAGAAGAAAAATTTGACTTTATTTGTAATTAAAGATGGCCTAATTAAGGCAATGTGACAATTCTGCCCATCAGACCTCAGAAAGGCAAAGGACTTTGTGGGATAACTCAGGTTGCTGGTGAATGACATGGACTCATCTACATTTTGTTGGGCACAAATTAGGTGTCCCCTCTGCAAGGGACAAATTTGCAACTTGACTGAAGTTTTAAAATGGCCAAGCCCCAGGAGCCCCAGTTTCTCTGCTAAAGATATATTCTAAGGAGATAACTGGATGTGCGTATAAAACCGTAAGTCAGGTTTGTCCATCACAACCACGCTCATCCTGGTGAAAATGCAGAGAATCAGGGAACTCGAGTCCAGATGAGAGGTAGTGGAGAAGGAAGGCAGGGGTCTGAAAGCCCTGCAGATTTCCAAGGGTTAGTGTTCACTTCTGGGGCCCAAACATCCCAGGGGCAGTAGCCCCAAAGCCCCAGATGGGACTGGCTCAGTCACCGTCCCTCTGGGGACCTTGAGTCAGAATTAAGAGTCAGAATTAAAGAGAAGTCTCAAAACGACGCCACTGGAGACACAATCGCAATTCAGGCCACCATGTTGTAGGTGGCCCTGGTCCCCATGATCCATGGAACAGAGGCGGCCCCAGCTGTCTCCGCAGGATTATGCACCGCGCGTCATGAGCCGAGGGGGACAGGACCCGTGGAGCACCACTCTCGAAAGCCCTTTCCCTGGGGCCAGATGGCCAGCACCATGGACAGCAGCTCGCCAGCCTTCGCTGAGCCTCCACCAGAGAGGCAAGGGGAGGACACTAGGGAGGCCAGGAGAGGCTACGGGAGGACGCTCGGGAGGCCACGAGAGGCTACAGGAGGATGCTTGGGAGGCCATGAGAGGCTATGGGAGGACGCTCAGGTGCTCGCAGAGGCCCTGAGAAGCTATGGGAGGATGCTCGGTTGCTTGGGGAGGCCGCCTCCTCCAGAGCCTCTGGAACTAAGTCACACCCACGCTGGAACCACTGCGAGCCCAATTTCGGAAAAAACAAAACATACAAGTGAAACTCAGCCCACAGCTCTGAATTCATTCTCTGACCAGAGAGGTCCTGCAGCCCCGTCGAAGCCTGCACACAATTCCTGGTGAGCGCTTTCCTGACCACCTGACCTGGAAGGGCCTCACCCAGTCTTGATCGTCACATTTCCCAGACAAACATAAAATCGTGCCTGCCTAGGAGAGAACCGCGCATGCTGATACAGTGAGACAGGCAGGGTGCCAGAACTCCGAGGTGAGACACTTAGGGTGTCCCAGGGCGCTCGGCCCCCAGAGCTCTGAGGTGAGAGAGCCAGGAGAGGTCGGGAGGGGGCGGGGCACGGGCCTGGGAAGCGGCTGGCCTGCAGCTCAGGAACCCCAGTGTCTGGGTCTCCACGGATGCCTCTGGCAGGTCAGGGAGAGGAGGTGGCCGATGGAGAGAGTGGATGGAGGAGTCTCTGGTGTTGATCACAGTGGACTAGAATATGACAGAAAAGGGGACTTCAGGCTGGCAGACAACCACACACACACATGCACAGACACACATGCACATGGGGAGACACACACACGCTTCCCCAGACATCGCCTCCTGCCGGACGCTGTTTCATTCTTCTCTTTGAAAGGCGAACGATGAGGCAGTCAGTGACCTTCTAGCCAATGGGGCTTTGGGAACCAAATCAATTCCTTAAGACCAAAAACCCTGCCTCTCACCATGCTTCCCCCAGCAGGGTCTGCAGAGCCCCCATCCTCACTTCATCTGCCTCTCGCCATGCTTCCCACAGCAGGGTCTGCAGAACCCCCATCCTCACTTCACCTGCCTCTCGCCATGCTTCCCCCAGCAAGGTCTGCAGAGCCCCCATCCTCACTTCACCTGCCTCTCGCCATGCTTCCCACAGCAGGGTCTGCAGAGCCCCCATCCTCACTTCACCTGCCTCTCGCCATGCTTCCCCCAGCAGGGTATGCAGAGCCCCCATCCTCACTTCACCTGCCTCTCGCCATGCTTCCCACAGCAGGGTATGCAGAGCCCCCATCCTCACTTCGTATTCAGGTAAGTGTGACCAAGAATGTCTCTTTTTCTGGTTTATAAATCAATTTTTTAAAGATCTCCTAAGATCTGAGAATACAAGCAAAGAGACAGTCACATGTAAGCTTAATAATGAGGTTCATATTAAAGGCAGACAGATGTTCAATTAAACATCAGACTTCACGCTGACACGCTGAGAGTGAGGATCTCCATGCATAATTCTCCGTCCCAGCCCCAGATCCCGGGAGTTTTGATCACACAGCTGGGAAGTCGTCATCCAAGCCTCGGATGTGTTTGTGGGGCATCGTCTATAGCCGGGGCTCCTCCCCTCTCTCTGTCCACACACACAGGTCTCCAGGCATGTTTACCTCTAAATACACACCCTGCCAAGGACTGTGGCCTGGAAAGTCATAGGCACTTGACTTCTACCAAAAAAGAAATAACGGAACGGCATGAGAATGGTCACACCTGAGCAGGCAGCTAACAGCAACAGGTTCACTACACACAACCACCCTTGCACATATGCGTGTGCACCCACAACACACACATTCACACACACACACGCATGTGCACACACAACACATACATACATTCATACAGACACACACGTTCTCACCCTAAAGTCATGGTCAAATTGGGTGGTTTACTCCACACTATTTTAATAAATAGCCTTCACTCTTCAGACACAATCTGAAAAAACCCCAGACTCGAAAGCGTTTCCCATAACTCAGGACAAGGAATCACGCAAGTGGGAAACCGTCCTTGCGAGCGCCTCACGTGAGCCACAGTCACCGCACAAAGTCTCCATCGCGTTGGACGGTCCGTGGGAATTTCTCAGGGCTCCGGAGGCCAGCGGGGCTGGAGGCAGACCTCATCGGCACTTCTGACAACGGCAATTTTTGTGCTCCTCACAACCAACGAGGGTGTGATTTTTCCCATCTGTCTTCCCTTCCTCACCCCTCCCTTCCCCTTCTCTTCCCTTTGTCTCTCCTCCCTCTCTTCCTACAAAAGAAATCACATGACATCGATTCCCTGATATTCAGATCAATCAGCTGGAGTGACAGGAAACACGTTCGCTCCCATTGGAAACAGCACGTGCTCCAGCAGAGCTCAGGTGTTGTTGAAGCCCGTTAGAACTGGCATGCGTGGAGTCTGCTCCCATGCATGCATGCACACGCACACACACCCACAGCATCCCTGGGAGAAGCCGCAGCCCAATGCACACGCACACACACAGCATCCCTGGGAGAAGCCGCAGCCCAATGCACACATGCACACGCACACACACCCACACACACACAGCATCCCTGGGAGAAGCCGAAGCCCAGTGCACACGTGCATACACACACACACACCCACACACACACAGCATCCCTGGGAGAAGCCGCAGACCAGTGCATGCGTGCACACACACACACCCACACACACACAGCATCCCTGGGAGAAGCCGCAGCCCAATGCACGCGTGCACACACACACACACACTGCATCCCTGGGAGAAGCCACAGCCCAATGCACACATGCACATGCACACATGCACACACACCCACAGCATCCCTGGGAGAAGCTGCAGCCCAATGCACGTGTGCAAATACACACACACACAGCATCCCTAGAAGCTGCAGCCCAATGCACGCGTGCACACACACACGCACACACACA
The DNA here is from genome assembly GCF_000001405.40 of Homo sapiens. Classification (NCBI taxonomy): domain Eukaryota; kingdom Metazoa; phylum Chordata; class Mammalia; order Primates; family Hominidae; genus Homo; species Homo sapiens. Next base: position 111,081 of record NT_187560.1, on the reverse strand, counting down.
CAGCATCCCTAGAAGCTGCAGCCCAATGCACGCGTGCACATGCACACACACCCACACACCCACAGCATCCCTGGGAGAAGCTGCAGCCCAATGCACGTGTGCAAATGCACACACACACACAGCATCCCTAGAAGCTGCAGCCCAATGCACGCGTGCACATGCACACACACCCACACACCCACAGCATCCCTGGGAGAAGCTGCAGCCCAATGCACGTGTGCAAATGCACACACACACCCACAGCATCCCCGGGAGAAGCCACAGCCCAATGCACGCGTGCAAACGCACACACACCCACACACCCACAGCATCCCTGGGAGAAGCCACAGCCCAATGCACGCGTGCACACGCACACACACCCACACACCCACAGCATCCCTGGGAGAAGCTGCAGCACATGTGTAAGCTGCCAATACCCTGCACACGGCTCTGTGACTGGAGATAATGAGGAATCGCCATGGCAACCCGGGAACAAGCCCACAGCGCCTTGTTTCCCCGAACGCAGAGCCCCGGCAGCCCCTCCATCCACCGAGACATACACGGCTGGAAGGACGTGGTGCTGCGGACCATGGGTGGTTCTTCTGCCACATTTGCTGGGACTTGTCCTAAGGACATTTTCAATTTCTGAAATCAGTCGCCATTGACGGCCAGGGTTCTCATTCCTGAATTTTTGTCTTTGCTTCTGGTTACCAGAGATCCAAAGCTGCAGTCGTTTAGCTGGTTTCTGTTTCCAGGGGTATTGTGAATGGAAATAAACCATGAAAATGACCGAAGACGTCACAAGGAAAGCAAATAGGATTTAAAACAGCAAAGCGGTGCCTTTGCCAATTCCAGGGAGTGTTTCTGCTACATAACCCTGTCTGTGCTGGGCAGTGCCGCTCCCGTGCACCCAGGACTGGAAAAGCATAGCTTAGGGGTTCAGGGGAGAAACAGTGACCTCTGCATCAGAAAAGTCCTAGATAAGTTGCCAGGAAAGGCAACAGCACCTGGAATGAGAGACAAGCTCAGGACTCGTGCCCCAGGCTGCAGGGACACCCACAGAGCTGACTTCTCCTCGGTCAACCAGCCCCCAGTGCTCGGAAGCATCTGGCCCAGGCACAAGCATGCTCCTGCTGCTACGGCAGCTGAATTGGGAAGTATGGCGGGGGCACAGATGCCCCAGGTGGACGGCCAGGCCTCTGGTCCACACACAGGCATTCACTCCCCATGTGGCCATGAGCCCCCGATTCTCCAAGTCCTGTGTTCTCACCTGTAAAATACGGAAGCTATGCTAGACAACTGCTGACTTCCCTCACCTGAGCTCTGTGGTACTCAGATATCCTCACTGGTGGGAAAGGGAAAGGCCACGGCCATCATGGGCAGGAGGACGCAGTGGTTCACAGGATGGAGGCACCAACTGGGAGGCTGGGCGGTGGCACTCACACTGTGCTGGAGTCAGGCTGGCTCCTGGGGAGCACGTCAGTCACCTGCTTAATTCACCATGGGTTAGCTCTCCGCGGGCGAAGGATGACGAAATTACGTTGTAAGTGAGCCTCAGCATTCTGTCCTTTGGAAATAGCCCCAAGAAGTCTGGGATAAGCTCTATTAATGTTAGTTTTTTTCCAGAGAGTAAAAAATAAGCTCTTGAACCCATCCATGGCTATCAGAATGAAGGAAAAGTCGTTTGACCTCCTTGGCCCAGAGCCCATCAGATGCTCAGTCATTCCCCTCTAAAATGCAACTCTCTCCATAATGAGTTCATTTTCAAAAGATTCAATTATATGGACCGTTTCTCCAGACGGTTTACAAATTTCAACCATGGCAGCAGCATTTGGGAATGGCTCATCTGCTCCCACCATAACTTAGGGCCATGTTCCTGTTTCAAGACACCAAATTCCTGAGTTTGACTTTCCCTTCTGCAAGTTTCCCAGAGGAGGAAAACCTTTAAATTGAGCTGAGGAAAGAACAATATTTGACCAGCACCAGAAGTCACCGAGCATTTTAATACAAACCTTATTGATGAGGCTTTACTGTCCACACCACTGCATATCTAAGTCAGAGAATTTGTCCTGTAATTCCATAACTTCAACAGGGCAAACGTTTACAGTACAGGTTGATTCTAGAGCCTCCTGCACCGGCCTCCCAGGATATTCGGCAGCAGGCTGAACCCAACTGGAACATCCCTACCAGGAGAGAAGCGGGACCCTGTAACAGCTGCCACAGCTTCCCTGGGAGGCCCCCGCTTGTGTTGACTTCAGAGAAGCAAATCTTGACTTTTCTTAGCGACTACCTAAAGCTTTCATTACAAACTTTCTTGAAAAAGAAAAAATGGTATTCCTACCAGCATCACTGGCTGGGCTAGCACTGATCACAGTGATGACCAGGTAGATGAAGTAGGGTTTCCATACATGATGGAAGCCGACAGCCACACTTTGAAAAGCTCAGTGTGGACTTTTAGGTGAAGTTCATATGAAACTGTTAGTTCCTGGCCCGGCCCGCCCGCACAGTAAATGAGAAATGACAGGTGTGGAAGCCAGGAGGCCACTGCTTTGCTGCACAGGGACGTCCAAGGACCAAGGCACAGAGCAGCTGGGGGGCTCCCCAGGGAGGAAGGACAGCACTCAGCCCCCTCCCCTGCAGGTCCCTCAGAGACCCAAGGCCCAGCTGGGCCCCACCATCCTCGACCCCCCAAGTCTTCCTCCTTGCTGTGGCCACACAGAAACTGTAATTTTAGGACGAGAGCTCTGCCAGACAGAGGTGAAGAGGCAGGAATTGTGTGGGGTCCAGAGGAACCAGAGTGTGATGGTTAACACTGAGTGTCAACTTGATTGGATTGAAGGATGGAAAGTATTGATCCTGGGTGTGTCTGTGAGGGCGTTGCCGAAGGAGATTCACATTTGGGTCAGTGGACTGGGAGGGGCAGACCCACCCTCAGTCTGGGTGGGCACCATCTAATCAGTCGCTGGCATGGCCAGAATATAAAGCAGGCAGAATATCGTGACAAGACTAGACTGGCCTAGCCTCCCAGCCTACATCTTTCTCCCATGCTGGATGCTTCTTGCCCTTGAACATTGGACTCCAAGTTCTTCAGCCTTGGGACCTGGACTGGCTCTCCTTGCAGACAGCCTATTGTGGGACCTTGTGATCATGTGAGTTAATACTTAGTAAACTCCCCTTTATATATATATACACACATACACACACACACACACACACACATATATATACCTATAAAGTTATATACATACACGTATATGTAACTAATATGATATATATATATCTGCCCCTCTAGAGAACCCTGACTAATACACAGAGTGTCCAAAAGTGAATCACTCAACACATGGTGAGGGTGCCGGGGGTCAGAACAGGACCCCCCCAACCTGGGGCCACTGGGCAGATGCTATCAGCACCAGGCTGACTTGAGGCCACACATGGCATCTGCCTGAACCGAGAGGAAACGCCTCCCACTGTCCAGTAGAGAAAGTAAAAGGGCCAAGGGGAATCTGCTCATTCACCAATCTGTTTATTGGTAAATATCAGCCCTGATTACACATTTCCCGTTATAAGGATAAAAACGTGAAAACATAGTTACAAACATACACAGAGAAACTGGAACACTGAAACAGAAAAACCATGTGAGAGCCACAAAATGATTCTGTAGCACGGAAAAGGCAAACCTACATTGAAGGTACAGGAAAATAAATAGGTTTTAAAAATTACAGTTGGAAACCCATGTAAATTCTAAAAAGCATCTGATTTGTGTTCTCAAATTTAAGAAAATGACAACCATAAAAAGCAAGATAACAGCACTCCAGAAGTCCCCGACCTGACTGGGCGGCAGACAGACTGAGAAGGAAGTCTGTGAAGAGGACAGTGTGGTCTCAGCGGGCAGGAGGCCCAGTCAGAAACACCGAGGGCAGAACTGTCCCGGGAAGTCACCTCAGTCACACGAAAGCCACCGTGAACAGGAGCTTAGCTACAGACGATGGGAACGAGGTGATCAACACTGCAGGAGAAACTGGTGCACGGCGGTGACTGACTGGGGATTTGGCATAAGGACAACTGCCTTTTAAAGGCTGGGAGAGGCCAGCGCAGTGGCTCATGCCTGTAATCTCAACACTTAGGGAGGCCGAGGCACACCGATCACCTGAGGTCAGGAGTTTGAGAGCAGCCTGGCCGACACGGCAAAACCCCATCTCTATTAAAAATACAAAAATTAGCTAGGTATGGTGACACACCTGTAGTCCCAGTTACTCGAGAGGCTGAGGCAGGAGAATTGCTTGAACCTGGGAGGCAGAGGTTGCAGTGAGCCGAGATTGTACCACTGCACTCCAGCCTGGGTGACAGAGCGAGACTCCATCTCAAAAATAAAAAGAAAAAATAAATAAAGGCTGGGAGGGCTGGGCGCAGTGGCTCACGCCTGTAATCCCAGCACTTTGGGAGGCCGAGGCGGGTGGATCACGAGGTCAGGAGACTGAGACCATCCTGGCCAACACGGTGAAACCCCGTCTCTACTAAAAATACAATAAATTAGCTGGGCGTGGTGGTGGGCACCTGTAGTCCCAGCTACTCAGGAGGCTGAAGCAGGAGAATGCCATAAACCCAGGAGGCGGAGCTTGCAGTGAACCAAGATTGCACCACTGCACTCCAGCCTGGGTGACAGAGCGAGACTCCTGTCTCAAAAAAATTTTTAAAAATCAATCAATCAATAAAGGCTGGGAGAACCAGAATAAATGAAAGAAAGCAACATGCAAAAGTGGAATACAAAAAAACTTCCACTTCCAAAGATGCTCATCTGAAGATTCAGAGTTTACTAAATACCACACAAAATTAACAATTTTTAAAACACCCTTACACACAACTGTTTTTGAATTCTAAAGAATCAAACGAACTATCACAATGAAAGAGTTTTGGTAGAGCAGCCCATTATAAGAAAAAAAGTAAAAAATGTAGCAGCAATTGTCATTTGGGAAATATGAGAAAAAATAATCTCACTCGGTCATAACGAAAAATTTTCAGATACCTAGGAACAAACTTGACCAGGTATGTGACTGCGCAGGGAAGAAACACGGGCCCACAGTGTGGACAAGGATAACACGGCCAAGTGACCCTGACAGCAACATGGATCTCCAATGGCTTAGATGGATTCAAGTAAAACCTTTTTTTGGTAGGAAAAATTTAGGTGAAAAAAAGGAAGGAAAAAATTAGGTGAATAGTTATCAGATCCTATAATAAGAGAGACTTCCTAAACAAGCAAAGGAAAGCAAAAAAAAAAAAGATTAATTTCACTTCATGAAGATTTAACCTTCTATTTTTAAATACATGAGAATAAAATATATCCTTATGTTTTATTTGATTAACATTTGTAACAATTTTACCAATAAAATTCATAAAAGAAAACATAAACTTAGCATAAGAAATGAAAACCAAAACGAGGAGGCATATTTTCCTACACAATTAAAATTCTTCACTAATAAACATCCACATTGATGACCTTGTGACGCAACAAGCACCTCACGCTTGAGAGAGGAACTTTATGCAAGTTCTCGGAAGGAAAATTCAGCAACTCTCAAAAATGCACACACCAAGTGACCTAGGAATTTCACTTCTAGGGGAATGTTCTAAGGAAATGATTCATATGCGGAAAACCGTTCGTTTTCAAAGATGTGCTTACTAAGAATCAGACATTGAGAAACAAAGGAATTTCCAACCGTAGGTGAATAATTAAATTACACCACATTAAAGATCATATTTATAAAACAGATAACGTGACATGCTCAAGATATAGTACTTATTGAGAAAAGGAATATAAACCCATGGATGTAATTTTCTAAAAGGGAGAGATGAACCTCACACAGCTGGACGTAGCGCACTCAGCGTCCGTCGTGGCCCCGGGGATGAGGTTCTGTGAGTCACGCCACAGACACCCTCTGCCATCAGCCCTCCTGGGCGCTGGCTGTGTGCGGAAGACCCCCTCGCAGGGCCACACCTTCCGGGGATGAGCACCTCTGGCTGAGCACTGCAGGCACAGAGGGAGGCTTGCCCCGAGCCCCAGCAGCTCTAAGAGGTCCCCGTGGAGTCTCACCTGCCCACCCCGTGCTGGTCCCCAGAGCTGGACCCCCAACGCTGGTCCCCGGAGCTGGACACCCCCAGGCTGGACCCCGGAGCTGGCCTCCCCAGTGCTGGTCCCCAGAGCTGATCCCCCCAACGCTGGTCCCCGGAGCTGGTCCCCCCAACGCTGGTCCCCGGAGCTGGTCCCCCCAACGCTGGTCCCTGGAGCTGGACACCCCCAGGCTGGACCCCAGAGCTGGCCTCCCCAATGCTGGTCCCCAGAGCTGGTCCCCCCAACACTGGTCCCCGAAGCTGGTCCCCCCAATGCTGGTCCCTGGAGCTGATCCCCCCAATGCTGGTCCCCAGAGCTGGTCTCCCATGAGCTGGTACCCGGAGCTGGTCCCCCCATGCTGGTCCCCAGAGCTGGTCTCCCCTGTGCTGGTCCCTGGAGCTGGTCCCCCCAACACTGGTCCCTAGAGCTGGTCCCCACCACGCTGGTCCCCGGAGCTGGTCCCCACCACGCTGGTTCCCGGAGCTGATCTCCACCACGCTGATCCCCAGAGTGCCCCAAGACAGCCCCAGCATCTAGTCACCCTCTGATTCAGCTTCATGGGCATCTCCCTTTTGGTTTTTATTTCTGTTTTTTATACAGCTTGCATTATCTTTAAGTGCAGGAAAAAATATATATATTAAGCAAACAAATCAAAAGGCATGCATAGTCCTGACAGGCAGAGTTCTCCAGGCTGTGATTCAGCACCCAGGGTCCAAGCAGCCACATAGGGCTGCTAAGACTCCCCGACCTGACAGCTTCCGGGCATCCCTCCTGCAATCTGGGGCCACCTGGCCACTCTAGAACACCGAAGGTAACACTGAGCAGGGCCACTACAGGGAGGCTGCCAGAGGATGCGCTGCACAGGGCAGCACGGCCGAAGGTTCCACCCAGCGGCCTCTTAAATCAAGGACTTCCAGGCAGAGGAAACTCCTGTGGCCACACCCCCAAGATGGCTTTGTCTGTAAAGGAGCGTTAACATCGGCATTTATAAGACTAATATGACAGCAGATGTGCTTTCCTCTGACGCCCGTACGCTGCGGAATCGCATTATGGAAATAGAGTGCCAAATGGATGCCTTGACCTCGGGGCCCGGCCTATTCTGCACAAAGATGACTTCTGAAATGAGTTTTTTGCTATAATTTGCTCTTGCCTTTGCTAAAAGGTTGAAGGCACTTCTATTCCAACTGAGTGTGAGTAACGCTAATTTCATAGCGTTAGCTGCATGTTCTTAAGCACGTTTATCTTCAGCAAGTACAGTTCTGTTGATTGAAAGAAAGAAATATTTCTTTTTAGTAAACTAGTATTCCCAAAGGCTGACAGACCATCTTTGTATCACACACAGTTACTAAGGGTTCCTTTGCTTAATCTCTTCAGAGGAAAAACAGACCAGCTGCCACTGAAGCAAACGAAGTCTCTCCTGGCACCCACATTTGGTTGTTTTAGGTTTGGAGATGGTTTTCTGTGCAATTAATGTGATTCATCCATCTTTGAAATGAAGAATTACACTGCAGTGCGGCCAGTTCCCACCGGATGAAAGTTGAAGAAGGAGCAGGATTGGAAATATTCAAATAAATAGCAACTGTTTCAGCCCATGCACCTGCAGAGTAGCAGCCAGCCTGCAGGCCAGGAAAGGGAGACGCTCTCATCCGGCAGCATCTGGGCGCCCTCTCTGGATGGGAGTGTGGGGAGGGCCCTCCCGTCTCTCTGCGTCTCAGCCTTTGCCAAGCCCAGCATTCTGTCTCTGCCTACCTGGTGCATGGATAACTCTCAAATGCACAGATGAGAAGATGAGACGCTGTGGGTGCTGGGCTGGGCCCTGAGGGAAACGGGCAGAGTGTGATGACTGTTCCCACGGTGGCAACACGACGCCCACGCGCCCGGCACTGGAGTCAGGGCTCAGGCAGCGGGCCCTTCTGACCCTCGCAGTGGCCCTTCTGACCCTTGGGGCAAGTGCACTTACCATCCCCACCGCAAACAGAGGAAACAGAATCTAGAGCTGAGGGGTTTGCTCTGGGTCCAAGCAGCAGTGAAGGGGAAGAGCTGGGTCTCAAACACCAAAAATCCAATCACAAAGCTCCCTTGTCAGGAGGAGGGAGCCACCTCCAGGACAGACCACTGGAAATGGAACTCTCCACAAACACCAACTCAAAAGGCCAATGCTGCAGGCCAAGAACACACTGGCAAAAGGCTGCAGAGCCACCCACACACTCACTCGCTCCTGTGAAACCAGACCCTGCAGCTCCTCATAGACACACACCTCAATATCAACAGCGCAGAAACTCCACTCCTGGACACTAGCCCGAGAGAAACAAAACACGATCTGTAAAAAGGATTGTACAAGAATGTTTAGAGAGACTTTATTCATAGGCGCCAAAAACTGAAGAAAGAAAAAAAGAAAGAACAAAGCCCGTCAACAGGAAAGTGGGTTTGAAACATGGCGCATCCACTCAATGGAACTCCCCTCAAAACAGAGACAAACCGTCCACACACAGCAAGTGGACAGATGGAGGCTGGAGGCAGAAATTAAAGAATGCCCTGCGGAAATCCAGAACAGCAAGCTTTAGACCTGGAGAAACCAAGCATATCGTGCAAAGGAATGGGAGAAGTCATTTCCGGGGCGGGGATGTGGTTTCATGGGAACTTTCTGGGTGATGTAAATGTTCTAAGTCACAGCACAGGCAGGGGCTGCATGCTGGGTGCATTTGCCAAAACTCACAGAATTGAATACTTCAAGTCTACAGATTTCTACTATATGTAACATTTAACTGGGAAAATGTAACAGAAAATAATAAAGGGTGGGGCTAAAATCCCTTCCTGCTTAAAAACACAGAGCATGGTGGCCTGAGGCGCAGAGGAAAAGATAGATGAGAAACTCCACATCCCCGAGGCTCAGCAGCAGACGTATTTCATGGGGGAAACCAGCTCTCAGCTGCTTCACGTGGCAGTGAGACCCTAAATATGAGAGGCAGTGGCCGGCCAGAGCATGAAGTCAGAAAGGTGCCTAAACCTGGCAGCACTGGGCCTCCCCACAGCTCCCAACTCACCAGAATTATACCAGGCAAGTGCCCACAGGGCATCAGCAGAGGGCTTGTCATGTGATTCACTGCTCATTTAGTCCCTCATTCAGCAAATGTTTACAGAGTACCCAGGACACAGGCATAGTCCAGGCACAATGAGGGCAGCAGACAAGGCAGCTGTGTCTTGGGGCAGACATTTTAGGAGAGCATGCAAGGCAGCCAGGCTCAAGCTCCTGGTGTGGCCAAACCCAGCCATCTCGGGGATGTGGTGGGACAGCACAGCTGAACATTAAATCCATTGCAACTACAGTTTTCCCTGAGAAAAGCATCACTGATATGGGCAGGTGGCAGAAAAATTCTGGGTAGAAGAGGGTAGTTCCCCGGCAAAGGCCCCGCCCTCAAGCCTGGAAACCTGTGGCCCTCAATGGGAACAGGCATTCCTGTTTTTGTGCCCAAATGTTGCCTTTTGGCCTCCCATGCCTGCCTATCCTGTACCCATGTAAATGCCAAGCCCCAGGCTCCACTAGTGGAAGAGCGGAGGAACAGAAGAGTGGCGTGTCAGGGAAGGAGAGAAGAGAAGGAGCGTGTGAATGTCAAGAGGAGTTCGGCTGGGGACAGTCAGAAAGGAGATTGGCTGCGGGACGGCCAAACTCCAGGGGAAGATCCCTTCCCACTCCATCCCCTCTCCAGCTCCCCATCCATCCCACTGAGAGCCACCTCCATCCAGCAGTAAAATCCCCCACATTTGCCATCCTTCAATTTGTCCCTGTGACCTGATTCTTCCTGGACGCCAGATAAGAACCTGGGTATCAACAGGGCACTGAGCTGGTTAATACTTAAGCCATCTGTGGGTGGCAACTGCTAAAAGAGCACTGTAGCACACCCACCGCGGCTTTGGGAGTCACAGACACCCCACCCCTGGATGCTACTGCAGGGCCAGAGCCCAAAAGCACTCACCCCGGCTCCTGCACCTGCCTATCTGTGTGCTCTCCCTTCCCTAAGGCTCTTTGAGCACGCAGCAGCCAAACAGATGAGCCACACCCGTCACACGTCCTGCATGCAGGGTCAGGGGACTCCCCCACAGCCCTGTCACACGTCCTGAGAGGGGGGTCAGGGGACTCCCCCACGGCCCTGTCACACGTCCTGCACGTGGGGTTAGGGGACTCTCCCACAGTCCTGTCACACGTCCTGCGAGGGGGGGTCAGGGGACTCCCCCATGGCCCTGTCATACGTCCTGAGGGAGGGGTTCAGGGGACTCTCCCACATCCCTGTCACACGTCCTGAGAGGGGGGTCAGTGGACTCCCCTACAGCCCTGTCACACGTCCTGAGAGGGGGGTCAGGGGACTCTCCCACATCCCTGTCACACATCCTGCACGCGGGGTCAGGGGACTCTCCCACAGCCCTGTCACACGTCCTGAGAGGGGGGTCAGGGGACTCCCCCACAGCCCTGTCACACGTCCTGCATGCGGGGTCAGGGGACTCCCCCACAGCCCTGTCACACGTCCTGCACGCGGGGTCAGGGGACTCTCCCACAGCCCTGTCACACGTCCTGAGAGGGGGGTCAGGGGACTCCCCTACAGCCCTGTCACACGTCCTGAGAGGGGGGTCAGGGGACTCTCCCACATCCCTGTCACACATCCTGCACGCGGGGTCAGGGGACTCTCCCACAGCCCTGTCACACGTCCTGAGAGGGGGGTCAGGGGACTCCCCCACAGCCCTGTCACACGTCCTGCACGCGGGGTCAGGGGACTCCCCCACAGCCCTGTCACACGTCCTGCACGCGGGGTCAGGGGACTCTCCCACAGCCCTGTCACATGTCCTGAGACGGGGGTCAGGGGACTCCCCCACAGCCCTGTCACACGTCCTGAGAGGGGGGTCAGGGGACTCCCCCACAGCCCTGTCACACGTCCTGAGAGGGGGGTCAGGGGACTCCCCCACAGCCCTGTCACACGTCCTGAGAGGGGGGTCAGGGGACTCCCCCACAGCCCTGTCACACGTCCTGAGAGGGGGGTCAGGGGACTCCCCCACAGCCCTGTCACACGTCCTGAGAGGGGGGTCAGGGGACTCCCCCACAGCCCTGTCACACATCAAGCACGCGGGGTCAGGGGATGCTCCTGTTTCATCATGAATCTGGTAGCAATTAGGTGCGTGTGTGTTAATAAAATCTCCATGTGTTATGGAAAAATAGTTAAATGTAAAATGTATCGGTCTTCACCAAAGAAGAGCAAGGGATGGCCAGTAAGTGCAGGAAGAGACAGCCAGCATCATCACGCATAAGAAAAGGGGACCCCACTTGGACACCACCACGAACCCACAGGCTGGGGAGGAAACCCCAGCAATGCAGAGTGCTAGGGAGGAGGCAGGCAACTGGCTGGCTCGGCTTGGGGGTGGAAATGCACACACAATTTTCCCGGGACTCAGCAATCACAGGCTTTGTCATGGACCCAAGAGGAATGAAAATGGAGTTCACAGGAAACCGGCATCGGTGGTTTATCACAGCTTTACGCACGACAGCTGAAAAGTGGAACAATCCAAATGTCCGCAGCTGGAGAGCTGACTTTCTTACACCCATTCCAGGGACACTACCTGGTAATACCAAGGGACGGGCTGCTGGTACGGCCCTGCACGGAGGGTGCTCAAGGGCAGGGTGCAGGCAGAAGCCTCCCCCACAGTCCACACAGCACAGGGCCCGTGGCTACAACACAGACACAGCAAGCACAGCACAGAACCAGATCCATGAGGGCAAGGAAGAGCTCTGTGTGGTCCAGATGTGACACAGCCAGTCCTGGCGCTAGCTCCGGGTTTTCTGGGTGTAACACAGCCAGTCCTGATGCCAGCTGTGGGTTTTCCAGGTGTGACACGGCAGGTCCTGGACCTGGCTCCGGGACTATACACCTCCTCCTGACTCCTCCAGCTGTGCACTTAGAAACCGCATTTTACTGCATACAAATCATATGATTATACAAACCTGAACAAACCTGACACAAAAGCAAATAAAAGCTATTGGCCTCAGGACAACCCTTGACCTTGACAATGGCTTTTTTACATAATGGTTGGAGGCTGTCCCCTCAGCTCTTGACATTCGCTCCCCAGGGCATGAGTTTTCCTAAAGGGGCCTGCAAGCCCCGCCTGCTGCCCAGAGGCTTCCCCAGGCACCTCCTTCTTGGTGCAGGAGGGCCCTGGACCCACTAGGGACTTAAGCTCCTTTTCCACAGAAACACAGCAATGGTTCTGAAGGGGGAACCGCAGGTCCCAGTGACTCATGGTGACCACACGCCTGCATCCGAGGATGACTTCAGCCCCCTGTCCTCTCCCCACAGTGAGCTGCTCCCCACAGGCCCCCTCTATTGCGAATGCCCTGAGTCAAGCTGCCCAGTCTTCATCCAGTTATGCTGAAAACCCCACTCTTGGTTCTCTGCCTTGATATCACCACGTTTCCAAAGAAAGTGTGCAAAACTCCTGGGCTTTGGAGTCCAGCACACTCCAGGGTCCAGGGTCCAGGGTCCAGGGTCAACATCCAACTCAGTTGCTTTCTGGTTATAGGCTCAGGCAGGCACATTTGTCAAAGAGGTGTTTTAATCAATACATTGAAGATAATGATAATTCCTTCCATGCAGCACTGGTATTAGTAATAGCTGAGATATTATATATAAAATACTTGACAAAATTCTTACCAGAAAAGGCTGGTTGGCTGTTACGATCAAGGGGACTTTAATGGGATGGGGAGAAGACCCCGCTCCCAGTCCTGTCATCTGTGAATTTGTTATTAATAAGTATTTATTGACAGTGCATCTGCACGCACTCCTGTCTCTCAGAGCTGTGGAGGGGAAGAGCTCCCTGCAGGGTGAGGCAGGGTGCGGGGTGAGAAGTGCTGGGTTAGGACAGGGGCTGCACCTGCCAGGCCTGGCCCTGTGTGCATGGAAGGGGTGGGAGAGCCCCCAGAGTGGGGAAGGCTCATAGGCTGCCCCCTAGAGCAGAGAACAGCAAGGTCAGGTGTCCACACGTAGGATGCTCCCTCCAGCAGCCTGCAGAAGGGGCTGCGGACCCCAGGGTGGGGGTGACTGGGGTTGGCAGGAGGACCGGGGTAGGGAATACGGTTCTGCTGTGCAACACGCCTCTGCAGCAGTGGCAGCCAAGACCCACCTTCATAGATGGTGTCTGTTCAGTAAATGTTTGATGAAAGCAAAGACAGGAACAGAGGAGGGGAGGGAAGGAAGGGTGGGACAAAGAGCCACACTAATTACACAGGAAGGAAAAGCTGCATCCTCAGAAACTGCAGCCAAACTCACACTCACAGCCCACAGGTGGGGGGCTCCCAAGAAATGGTACAGACGAAAGACAAAAACAACTCCGAACTCAAACTCACACCTCACGGGTGGAGCAGGGTTCCTAAGAAATAGCACAGACAAAGATGGAGAAGACTCCACATTCAAACTCACAGCACAGCCCACAGGTGGGGCGGGGTTCCTAAGAAACAGCACAGATGAAACAGAAAGACTCCAAGAAGGCCAAAGTCAGTAGACCCACAAGAGGTTCATGGGGGTTCAGGTGGATGGGGACCCCCTAGCTGTATTAGTCCTTTTTCATGCTGCTAATAAAGACATACCTGAGACTGGGTAATTTATGCAGGAAAGAGGTTTAATGGACTCACAATTCCACATGGCTGGGGGGGCCTCACAATCATGGTGGAAGGCAAAGAGGAGCAAAGTCACATCTCACATGGATGACAGCAGGCAAAGAGAGCTTGTATGGGGAAACTCCCCCTTATAAAACCATCAGATCTTGTGAGGTTTAGTCACTATCAGGAGAACAGCAAGGGAAAGACCCACCCCTATGATTCGATTACCTTCCAACGGGTCCCTCCCACAACATATGGGAATTATGGGAGCTGCAATTCAAGATCAGATTTCAGTGGGGACACAGCCAAACCATATCATTATGCCCCTGGCCTCTCCCAAATCTCACGTCCTCACATTTTAAAACCAATCATATCTTCCCAACAGCCCCCCAAAGTCTTAACTCATTTCAGCATTAACTCAAAAGCCCACAGTCCAATGTCTCATCTGAGACAAGGCAAGTCCCTTCCACCTATGAGCCTGTAAAATCAAAAACAAGTTACTTGTTTCCTAGACATAATGGAGGCATAGGTATTTGTTAAATACAGCCATTCCAAATGGGAGAACTTGGCCAAAACAAAGAGGCTACAGGCCCCACGCAAGTCTGAAATCTAGCAGGGCAGTCAAATCTTAAAGCTCCAAAATGATCTCCTTTGACTCCATGTCAAACATCTGGGTCATGGTGATGCAAGAGGTGGGTTCTCATGGTCTTGGGCAACTCTGCCCCTGTGGCTTTGCAGAGTAAAGCCTCCCTCCCAGCTGCCTTCACGGGCTGGCATTGAGTGTCTGAGACTTTTCCAGGCACACAGTGCCAGTTGTTGGTAGATCTACCATTTTGGGGTCTGGAGGACCGTGGCCCTCTTCTCACAGCTCCACTAGACAGTGCCCCAGTAGGGACTCTGTGTGCAGGTTCCAACTCCACATTTCCCTTCTGCACTGCCCTAGCAGAGGTTCTCCATGAGGGCCCCACCCCTGGAGCCAACTTCTGCCTGGGCATCCAGGCATTTCCATACATCTTCTGAAATCTATGCAGAGGTTCCCAAACCCCAGTACTTGACTTCTGTGCACCTGCAGGCTCAACACTATGTGGAAGCTGCCAAGGCTTGGGGCTTGCCCCCCTCTGAAGCCACAGCCTGAGCTCCACATTGACTCATTTCAGCCACAACTGGAGCAGCTGGGACGCAGGGCATCAAGTCCCTAGGCTGCACACAGCATGGGGACCCTGGGCCCAACCCACAAAACCACTTTTTCCTCCTGGGCCTCAGGGCCTGTGATGGGAGGGGCTGCTGTGAAGACCTCTGACATGCCCTGGAGACATTTTCCCTATTGTCTCAGGGATTCACATTTGGCTCCTTGTTACTTAGGCAAATTTCCACAGCTGGCTTGAATTTCTAGTCAGAAATTGGGATTTTATTTTCTATCACACTGTCAGGCTGCAAATTTTCTGAACTTTTATGCTCTGCTTCCCCTACAAAACCAAGCACCCAAGTCACCTTTTGAATGCTTTGCTGCTTAGAAATTTCTTCCGCCACATACCCTAAATCATCTTGCTCAAGTTCAAAGTTCCACAAATGTCTAGGACAGGGGCAAAATGCTGCCAGTCTATTTGCTAAAACATAACAAGAGTCACTTTTGCTCTGGTTCCCAACAAGTTCCTCATTTCCATCTGAGACCACCTCAGCCTGGACTTTATTGTCCATATTGCTGTCAGCATTTTAGGCAAAGCCATTCAACAAGCCTCTAGGAAGTGCCAAACTTTCCCACATTTTCCTGTCTTCTGCTGAGCCCTCCAAACTGTTCCAACCCCTGCCTGTTACCCAGGTCCAAAGTTGCTTCCACATTTTTGGTTATCTACAGCAGTGCCCCACTCTACCGGTACCAATTTACTGTATTAGTCTGTTTTCATGCTGTTGATAAAGACATACCCGAGACTGGGTAATTTATACAGGAAAGTGATTTAATTGACTCACAGTTCCACATGGCTGGGGAGGCCTCACAATCATGGTGAAAGACCAAGGGATGTCTTACATGGCAGCAGGTAAGAGAGAGTTTGTGCAGAGAAACTCCCCCTTATAGAACCATCAGATCTTGTAAGACTTATTCACTACCATGAGAACAGCACGAGAAAGACCCACTCCCATGATTCAAGTGCCTCCCACTGGGTCTCTCCCACAATACATGGGAATTGTGGGAGCTACAATTTAAGATGGGATTTGGGTACAGACACAGCCAAACCATATCACTAGCCCTAAGGCAGGTGCCAGTTACATTGTCTCACCAGAGCACCCTGAGAGCCACAGCCAGGAGAGAAATGGTGGGCAGGACCCACTACAGGTCCACCCTGGTGGGCATACATGTGCAGGCACCTGGGCAACGCAGCTCAGCACAGCCTCATGACTCCAACTCCCCTCCGTGAACAGCCCCGGGGGTCAGGATGTGGAGGAGGCCAGGACCAGGGAGGATGGGGCCACTGCATCACCACCCTGGGCTGAAGACCCCTCCACCATGTCCTGGGTAAGCCACACAACCTCACCCACTTTTTGGTGTAAAACAGGTAAAACAGCATGGAATTTGCAAAGTATCCCATGAATGCGACTGTTCTCCTCCCCACTCCCCTCTTCTCTCCTCAGAAAGTCGCCATGAAGGAAAGAAATGCATAAATCTGTCTTCTGCAAAAACAATTTTTCCAGCCCCATTCTATTCTTACAGCAGGAGTCCCCAACCCCCGGGCCATGAACCAGTACAAGAACCAGGCCACACAGCAGGAGGTGAGCAGCAGGTGTGCGAGCATTCCCGCCTGAGTTCTGCTGCCTGTCAGATCAGCGGTGGTGTTAGATTTTACAGGAGTGCAAACCCCATTGTGAACTGCGCACAGGAGGGACAGAAGCTGCACACTCTGTACGAGAATCTAATGCCTCATGATCCAAGGTGGAGCTGAGGCAGTGATGGGAGTGCTGGGGAGCAGCTGCAAACACAGATTAACATGAACAGAGAGGTCTGACTGCACAGAGATCACAATCAATCAATTGCTTGCAGACACATATGAAAACCCTATCAGTGGGCTTTAGAGTGGCAAATGAGTTGGAAAAAAGTGCACAATAAACATATTGCACTTGGATCTTTCCAAAACCACACCCCCAACCATGGTCCATGGAAAAACTGTCTTCCAGGAAGCTGGTCCCTGGTGCCAAAAAGGTTGGGGACCACTGTCTTACAGCCTATTGATAAATGGCACACTCCGTCAGTATCCCACAGTACATTAATGTTCATCATGACATGATGCCTGGAGAACATTAAGGCTCCTATTAACACATGAGGGGCCCTGAAGACCCACCTCCTGAGCTAACGTCCAACAAGAGTTCAAAAGACACACCTCATGCAGAACTCTTATTCAACAGAATTTGAAGAACTATTTTGAAGAATTATTTTTGTAACTCATTCAAAAAAAGTGATCAGAGGCAAAAGCAGCATGCAGGGTCAGGCACTTCTATTAGTGAATGTATCTATTTGATATAATCCACAGGGCCAGTATTTGCTTCAGAACAGAGCAATCATGCACATAATATCATCCCTATAAACAAAATGGGAAATAGCATGGACTTAACATTCCAAAGTATAATATACTCTTCCAAAGGAGAGATTGCCCTCACCCTTTGTGGCTGCCAGTTTAAAGTGCAGAGTTTTGCCATGGAATGCCCTTTCAATTTTTTATTAATTACATGGAACCAAAGACTTTAAATAGCCTCCGGGATCCCAAAAAATGATATTTTAAAATTATCCAGCTTTACTGTCAGAAATTTAATTTGAAGTTCAAAAGTCAAGATAAAACTAAAGTCATCAAAACAGAAGGACAAAAGAACTTTAAGTGGTCAGGAAAGAAAGGTGTGGGTTTGTGTTCAATTGCAGAAGAGTCTCAGGGTGAGAGTTTATGGAAACCCCAACTAGAGCCCACCTGCTCAGGTGTCTTCACGCACACATATGTCTCAGAGAGGCACACAGTAGCAGCAAACAACTACGGCCAGTTTGTGATGTTAATGACTTTTTTACAGAATTACGTAATAACGTCATTAGTATTTTAAACCCTTTGGCATATGAGAGCCACTATGCTCCGGAAAGCGTGATCACACTGAAGGAATCCTTTTCACTTGAGTCCTTGGCTTGAAAATGCCACTGTTTGGATGGTTACTTCCTGTTGAGAACCTTGACCATTTTCAGGGACAGAACTTTAAACTCTGCTTGAAGCATCCCGCGCATCCTCTGTCTCATCGCTGGTCATCCATGTCCCTCACACACTCATGATTTGCGTGCACCAACTGTATCACAACCTGCTGGGCTCGCTCAAGGTACTTGGCACACATGTCTATTTGTCTGCTGTCACCCAGGTGGCCACATTTGGAGGTCACCACACAGGAGGAGGAGCTGGTAAGGGCCTGCATTGCCCATTAATTTTGAGGATTTATGGTACCCTGGAAACCAAAAGGACCTTTCGGCCAGACACCAACACATCTCTCAGGAGCACAACACAGGGCAGAAGCAGCCGGGATGTGGGGACCGCGGGCTGTAAACTATTAATGCAAGATGCCAGGGGCAGCACCCAACCTCCAGAGGTTTTTCCCGCTGATCTCAGTGAAAGGTAGGCACTGACAGTATCCACAGTGTGAGAGGGCAGGGGCTCCTTAACAGTTACAGATCTCTGTATGCAAATGAAAGTACACAAAGCCAGACACTTAGGAAGAAGGCGCTTCAACAGGCACAGGTGTTACTGCTTAAGCCAAGACAGATGAGTATAATGTAGAGAAACCCTGTATTACAGGAGGGATTAAGCCAGAAGGGTGTTTGTGGGAGGGAATGAACCTTCCCTTCATCAAAAATCACTGCAAACTGTGTGCATAACACCCATCTGTGTGTTTAAAATAAAAAATTTCATTTACTAATAAGTGATTACATTTGACCCTTAAACATGCACTCTTTGTAAAAGTTACCAAAGGTACCAAAACTGAAATACTAATTGCCAGAAGACATTTTCACGAGTCAGAGGGCCGACCAAACACAGATGTCAGGGTGCACCTCTGCAGCATGTGGGCTATGCGCATCAGTAAAATCACCTGCCCGCCCTCACAGCAGTATTTGCTGCGCATCAGTAAAATCACCTGCCCGCCCCCACAGCAGGATTTGCTGGTGTGACTTCCGCCCTCACCGCAGAAGAATTTGCTGGTGTGACTTCCATTCAGTGCATCAACGTCCCCTAATGGAGTTTCTGATGTTTAAATTTTCCGTTCCACACTCCCACCAATGCCCCTGAAGCATGGAATAATAAATACGAAACCATTTGTCCTCTTCTGATAACATCGACAAGAACCTAAATGTCTTCTTTGTAAACCAATCATACCACACTATGTGAGTCCCACTGTAACAAAAGCTACTTTAATATAAAATTCTGGGAACAATTCCAGAGACAAGAGTCCCAACCAATTAAGGCAAGAAAGACACCACTGGAAAAAAAAAGGTTTCAATTGAACCGATGAAGATGTACTCTGATGACATTTCAGATTTTGAAAGGATTTGAAGAAACATTAAGGGTGAAAGTGCAACAACCAAGTAGAATTGGCCTCTACTTTAAAATCTCACTGTATAGCAAGCAAAGAGAGCTGTTTTGAGATAAAATGGAAAATCAGAAGTTTGGGCATCCATGAAACATTCTTGTTAATTAAAATCCAGCATAAAATTCCACACCTTGTTTCATTTCAGTGATTTAAACAATTACATTAATGATAATAATGCCTTAAGTCAACAAAGGAGGTCCATACAATTTTTCCCTTTTAATGGGGTTTAGATATTACTCAAAGTTTACAAATGCTGGCATACAGAAAAGCACAAGTTCAGGCCTGCTACTGATGAGCTACGTGATACCAGAAAACGGTTTCAAGTCCGTTTCTAAATTTCCACAGTCTCCAGGAAGAAGATGGGTTGGTGACCTTGTGCGTCTCTCCTGTGGTGAACACCATGGATTTCATCTCCAGGAAGAGGGCTCTGCTGTGTTTCCCTCCATGAGCAGATGTGCCCCTCCTCCCATGCCCCGAGTCCCTCCTTCCGTGCTCCTCCTCCCTCCTCCCATTCCCCGAGTCCCTCCTCCTGTGCTCTGAGTCCCTATTTCTGTGCCCCTCCTCCCTCCTCCCATGCCCTGAGTCCCTCCTCCCGTGCCCCAAGTCCCTCCTCCCGTGCCCCGAGTCCCTCCTCCCGTGCCGAGTCCCTCCTTCTGTACCCTTCCTCCCTCCTCCCGTGCCCCAAGTCCCTCCTCCCATGCCCAGAGTCCCTCCTCCCATGCCCCAAGTCCCTCCTCCCATGCCCTGAGTCCCTCCTCCTGTGCCCCAAGTCCCTCCTCCCGTGCCCCGAGTCCCTCCTCCTGTGCTCTGAGTCCCTATTTCTGTGCCCCTCCTCCCTCCTCCCATGCCCTGAGTCCCTCCTCCCGTGCCCCAAGTCCCTCCTCCCGTGCCCCGAGTCCCTCCTCCCGTGCCGAGTCCCTCCTTCTGTACCCCTCCTCCCTCCTCCCGTGCCCCAAGTCCCTCCTCCCGTGCCCCAAGTCCCTCCTCCCATGCCCAGAGTCCCTCCTCCCATGCCCCGAGTCCCTCCTCCCATGGTGCAGGAGCTGCCTCCGTTCATCCAGGCTCATTCATCCAATTCCCCTCGGGACCAGGGTATGCACTTTTCCAGGTAGCTTGATGGGGTCAGGGGAGCTTATAGCTATGGATGGGTGCAGGAGATGGGGCCAGTGGGGACATGAACCTGGAGAAAGCATAACTGAACACACTGTCGATCATCCAAATGCCCAAACATTTAACCTGGAAAAAAATGGATCCTTCAATCCCCAATCTTATCCACCATCACCAAATGTAGATGTACAACCTACCAGCGATCAAGTTCAGGCAACAAAAAACAGAAAGCCCAGCCCTTCACAGGCTCCTACTGCATCGACTCCCAGCTCTTGCTGTGGTGGTTTCAAGTGTTAATGCAGCTCTCCAGAGTTTTAGCAAATCTGCTACCCTAGGAGATGAATGGGAAGGTGTTAGCAATCTGCCACCCTGGGAGATGAATGGGAAGGTGCTTCCACATCCTCCATGATGAACACGACTCCACACGGCCCGATCACCCACCTAAGCACTCGCCACAGGGGTGGGCTGAGGATGGGGGGACTGTGGCTTCTCACCCTCTGGGATCGCGTCTGCCCAGGCTCTTTTGATGACGCGTCTCTGTGGCAGCATGTGTTCTAGAACACGGGAGGCTCTGCCCAAATGCCTCTGAGGCCAAACCGGGACCCAGATCCCCAGGAGGCTGGGAAAGTCCTGCCCTAAGTGGCCTCAGCTTCAACCAGCGGCTGCCCTGGCTTCAGGGCCCACACGGACAGATCTCCTGGTACCACATGGGAGACCAGAAACCTTTCCATGAAACTTTCAGAACTGTAAACACAGATGCCCAATTCACATAGACACTGAAATCACATCTGCAAGCCAAATAGGTCAGGGAGGGCTCATCCTGCACCACAGGAGGGCTGAGGTGGGGCCAGGACCACGCTCACTGCCTTCGCTGGGGTCTCCGCAGGCTCCAGAGAGCTGGAAGGCAGATGGTGACCACAAAGACAACTCTTGTTTTGTAAGACGGTAGCCAAGGGCGCATTTACAAGTGGAGTGCGATCGGGTTACGATGTTGGAAAGCACTCTCTGGGTCCTGGGGGGACTGGACTCCAGGGGGCTGCGGCATCCCTGTCAGCTCAGCTTGGCCCGGCCAGGCCCGGGGATGCAGCTGAAGGCGGAGAGCTGCTGTGAGGCCCTGGGAAGACGCGGTGGCCACCACCATCTGCTGAATCTGCTGACTTAAAGGCAATGGTGCTGGATGGTCTCATCCAGGCGGAGGCTGCAGAGCCAGGGCGAAGTTTCCTGAAGGAGATGGAATCCTGCTGTAGATGGCGGCAACATGAAGAGCTGTCAAAGTCTCCAAGCCGCTGCCCTGTGGGATTCGGACAAGAGGCTGCAGCAGGAACCCGCCTCTGAATTCCCAGCCCACCAGCTGCCCTGCAGATGTCAGACCCGCCAGGCCCCCAATCGGTGAGCTAATGCCTTGAAATACTGTCTCTGTCTGTACACACACATATATCTCTATTTACACACACATATATCTATTTATACACACACATCTCTATTTATACACACATACAAACCCCCTGCTGAGTCTGTTTCTCTGGAGAACCCCAGCTCCACAGCAGCCTTCTCCCCACAGAAAATACTTTCGGAGGATTCCCCCGACCCCAGGATGTAGCCACCTCTCCCCTGTGTCGGCTTCACTCTGCAGGTCTCGGCAAGGAGCACCCCTGTCCACACTGAACAAGAAGCCCCTGGACCCTTCCGAGTGGCCATCACCTGATCCACGGCCACATCCTCCACGGGAAGCCACGGTTCACGTCAATCCCGGCACCAAGGTCCCAGAATTCACAGCTTCTGGGCTCGGTCCCGCAAGACCACCCCCCCATGAGGGCCAGTGCAGATGGACAGCCAGGCCACCTGCATTTCTTCCCAGCCAGCGACAAACTCGGCTGCCCACAACCTCCTCGGGTGCAATTTTTCTTTGGATGACACAGAACTTGGGAAAGCACTTCACTCACCATCACTAGCTCTTATAAAGGACACAGCTCAAGGAGAGCCAAACTGAGGGACGCACGGGGCAGGGTGCAGGGCACACGTCACACCTGCCCTGGGTGCACCAGGCTCCCTGCACCTCCACGTGTCTGCCAACCTGCGAGCTCCATGAACCTCTCACTTAGTTCTCTATGCAGGTTTCACGTACATAGGCATGATGGATTAAATCACTGGCCATTGGTGATTAACCCCCCAAGAGTTGGGGGGGCCTGAAAGGCCCAACCATCTAATGGTGCCTTGGCCTTTCTGGCCACCAGCCCCACCCTGAAGCCAGCCAGGGCTCCCAGCCACCTCTCAGCACACAAAAGACACTCATCGCCCCAGAGACTCCAAGGGTCTCAGGAGCCAGGAACCAGACACAAACTCCAAATACATACGTTATTATTAACCCACACACAGATGATACAAAACTTCTTTTTCACCCTCCAATGCTCAGTGCTGAGCTCAGCTGTGATCGATCTGAAGGAATAGGTCAACCCTAAGGGCTAAGCTCGGACTGGCGATTAGAACCTACAACCATGGAGGCTTGATTTCACCCAACGTGAGGCGGGCCCCTGGAAGGAGAAGGGCTCCAGATGCAGGCAGGGCAGTGCCTGGGCCTCAAAGTCTGCGAAGAGAAGCTGAAGGGAAACAGGCGTCCGAAGGGCCACACCTGGGCCCTGAAGCCCTCGGCAGGAGGCAGGTGCGGCCACTGAGGCCACACCACACTTCAGTGAGTGATTCCTCACAGAATGAAACACGACACACCTGCTGTACATAAAGTTGTTTTTAAGATCAGCCCAGGCTGCGACGCATGTGGAGGACACGCAGCCGTGTCCATAGACCACACGAAGTGAAAGCGCACTTTGACTGTGAAATCCAATTACTTTGGATTTAAGCTCTGAAATGCAAGTTCATTAGAAAAGAGATGTATTGTGCCTTCTTTCTGTGGTGGCCCCTCAATTAATCCTCTGGTCATTGAAGAATGAAAAACATCAACCCACAGGCTTCCCTTGCACAGACACCAGAGTCTGAGTGAATAATTATGGTTTTGATTCTGAGTTATGAAACAAACACTCCTCCTTATTAAATAAATTAAAAATAATGGGATCTGCGAAAGATCAATACACAAGAAAGGTACATTTGCAATAACGGCTGCCGCCGTCACAAATGCAATTCTAGACTCAGCCACCAGCCTGGCTGCTGGAACCAGGCCCTGCGAGAACACGGATGACAACACAGATGCACGGATAAATCATCACGCGTCGCATTCCCAGAATAGAAAATGGGCTAAACGCAAGTTCTGTCCTTCCTGCTCTCCTTTGTTCCTGGCCACATCTTAGTTTTCACAAACGGGCTCTTGGAGAAAAGAGGTGAGAGCCTCAGCAAAGGTTGTGGGATGTTAATGGACACATCCAGAAAGCAGGGCCCTGGCCCAAGACGCGTGGTGAGGCAGCCCCAGGTGCTGTCCTCCGGTGCAGCCAGGCCTCCTGCATCCACCTCGGATGACTCTGTAATGACGCTGTTCACATCCACAGAAGACAGGAGGATCCTACGGAGGGATGAAGCCTCTCAAACGTCTACACGATACTCAGCTGCGTTTATTCAAACCGATCTTCTTTGTGCCCCAGCTCCATCCCCGCCCCACCACCCTGTCCTCTCATCCCCCGGCTGCTGAGTGTGCACAGAGGCATGTCCCCTTGAACTCAGAGGCGCCGTCGCCCTGGGCCGTGTCCTCCCACGGCTCTCATGGTCACACAGCTCAGTGGCTGCTATGTGGAAATGGCCTCTCCTTGCAGCCAGGGGCAGCCGGCACCTGGAACAGCAATGAACTCGACTAAGAAGTTATTCCCATGCAGCGAGTGGCACTAAGTCGCAGCCGAACCAATTTGCTTCATGGGAAACACATTTGCCTTCAAAGAACACGTAAAGTGGAATCAGCAGCCAGACGGAGTTATGAGGTGAGACCTGCGGAGTCTCTGAGCTGGAGGCCCTTCTGCCCCAGGACAGTCACAGCAGGCACCCCGACCCCATCCCTTCTCCAGCCTCGCAGTAGGACCATCGTGCTGGAGGGCCTCGGCCAAGGTAGGAGGGAACACAGGCATCTGGACACCGAGTGGCCGCAATGCTGCTCACTGTGGCTCTGGGAGCTGAGCCTGTCCCATGCCAACTGCTGTCCACTGCCCGGCCAGGCTTGCCCCGTCCCAGAGGGTGCAGAACCACCAGCCCCTCAGCTCTCAGCGCACTTTGCGGGAGAGCTGGCCGATGTCTCCCAAGCCTTCTCTTCTCGCGCATCGTCCCCTTAACTGTCAGCTCCACTCTACAAATGTCCTCTCAAAATGCGAAGCTCAAGGTGGGTATGTCATGCCCCAAAGAGGCTACGAAAAATGGAGGGGCAGGAAGGGCAGATGAAAACCCATCCCCCACGGGTGCCGCGTCACATGCACTGTGTCCACGTGGCAGGCTCTGTCCGCTGTCAGGGCCCTACAGGAACAAGCCCTCCTGAAATGGTGTGAAACCCACCCCCACCTCCACTAATTCACCACTTCCAAATTCGAGGGGTGGAAATCATCCTAACTACAGACTAGATTTTCTTCCCTCTTGCGACGGTTGTAACGCAACAGCCATGTTTCACGTTCAGATGTACAGCTGCAGGAACAAATACTTCTTATTCCAAACACCCTAACCCAGCAGCTGCTGCTCCCTTAAAGATAAAAAGAACCTGCACGAGAGACATTGACTTCCATTCCCTGGAGGGACCCTCTGGGGCCAATGGCCGAGGAGAAAGGGGCTGTGAGCCCACGCCATCCCTCCAAGCCTGGAAGCCCAGGCGCCACCCTCCCTTGTCTGAAACCGCGCTCCCTCTCCTGGCCAAGCTGCACCAGGCCCGAAATCCAGGTCCGGGCCCTGACACCCAGCTATACTCAC
Organism: Homo sapiens; assembly: GCF_000001405.40. Lineage (NCBI taxonomy): Eukaryota > Metazoa > Chordata > Mammalia > Primates > Hominidae > Homo > Homo sapiens. Next base: position 85,771 of record NT_187560.1, on the reverse strand, counting down.
AGGCCCATCTCTCCTTCGGACGCTGACTGCAGAGGCCCGTCGGGAAAGAGACCATGTCCTGGGAAGGTCTCTCAGCCACAGCAGCCTCCCCTAGCTTCTTCCTGAGGCTTAAGGTCACCATGAGGAGGATACAAATGTCTCATTTTATGATGAGAAATGCCCACCTACCCCGCAGGAGGAGAGGCCTTCCCACATTTTCCCACCAGCACCCATGCTGCACATGCCCCTTGAGATGCAGGCCCAACCCCTGCCAGGACATAGAGCAGCTGGAGTCCCACCCCAGCCCCTCACAGCCCTGACCAGCTGCCCAGGCTGGATGCAGCCCTGCAGCCCTGGGGATGGGAGGAGGCAGGAGGTTTCCCCAGTGCCAGGCCCTGGTCAGTACCGGGGGCGGGGGAGGAAAGGAGCTGCACCCCCAGCCAGACAAGGCCACAAACAGGGCACAACAGTGAGCAGCACTGCTCTCACCAGAATTTAAAAGCAAACAGATTTGCCACCTGGGATGACGCCCTCAGGAATGAGCACCTTTGAGACAGGGAGCCCGCCTGTGAGTCGAGAGTCCTCCACCAGGCCCCCAGGGTGGCTTCAGGAGGGACCGTTTGCAGGGCAGGGATGATGCAGTACTGGGCTGGTGCGGGGGGAGTAGCCATACCCAGGGGAGGGAATTGTGAGGACTGGGCTGCCTTTGGGGGTGACCTTTGGCCAAGGGACAATGGCCAGGCTGGGGCTTCCGTGGGGAGGGAATGAGGGTGGACCTCCCCTCTCCCTCCCTTCATCTCCTGTCCATCCTCAGGGTGAGGACTCTGATGTGGCCATGCAGGTCAAACTCCCCGAGGAGGAGAGGGGCTGGGTCAGGGACCACCCCAGCACTGGACACAGGGTGTGGACACAAAGGCAAGCCTCCTGGGCACTGTGGATGTTCCACAAGATGGGTCCACTCATGAGACCGTGGCTGAGCGGCAGGCACAGGGCAACCCCAAGTGTTCTGTCCATGCGTCAGCTCACACGAGGAGAGGGCGGCGGGGATCTGCTGCACACCCAGCGTTGTCTGGGGAACCATCCTGGCATGGAGCAGGGCCTCACAGGACAGCTGCTTCTCTTGGCCAGCAAGAGCTCCACGTGGGGGCACGGCCCCAGCAGCCAGTGAGGATGGCAGAACATGTGGGTGCAGCCCTGTCCTTGTGTCCGTGGGGGAGGAGTCAACTCACCGGGGTCTGACCACATCAAGGTGCTACAGAAACACATTGTAGATCAATGTGTTTCACCAACTGCGAAGACACAAAGCCGGGCCCTGGGTCCAGTCAGCAGCCAAGGGGCAGGGTCCTTGGAAGCCAAGCCGGAGCCTCGCCAGGACCCCACAGGCTTCCCGGTATCCCCTGCGGACAGGACCATCCTGCTCTGGTTATCTGTCCACATCCCAAAGCCTCATCGGACCTGCAGGTATGTCTCACCCCAGGCAGCCCCTCTCGGTAGAATTTTAGAAATAACTTCCTTCCATTAAGGAAGAACAGGGTGATGAGAACTCCTCGAGCACGCCTGTCAACCTCAGTGTCTAGAACCACCAGCCCCTCCAGGGAGGCTGAAAACAGCAAGTCCACAGAGAGAAAGGGCTGCACAGGCCCAGCTGCCCAGGCCCCTGTGCCTGCTGCAGAGAAGGAAGGGGAGTCCTTTCCAGGGGCCTCTGCACCCCAGGTGGCCCTGGTCTTACTCGATGTTGGCTGGAAAGGAGACTGGGCAGGAAGAAAACGGGAGCTGGAAACCATCCCATCCTGGTCACAGCGCCTCCAACGCACCCTCCTCACCCCACGGCGTCTTTAAAAAGGCCGAAACCTGGGTTTGAAAATCCTGCAAACATCCAAGAGACTCAAATGCTGCGTGATAAATTTAGAAAGGTCAAGTGTACTTAACACGCTCTGCCACGAACACTGAAGGAAAATTAAAGTTCAGCCTGGTTTCCTTAAACATCATCACCAGGGGGCACGTCGGAGGGACTTCGCTCTGGGAGACGCCTTGCAGGACGACCCCGGGCAACTTCAGCCTCCACACAAATGACACAGAAATGGTTCCCAGAACAAAAAAGGACACTCTGAGCCTGACAGGGGATGGAGGTGTTTCCCTCAGACAACATAAAGGTCTCAGGCCCGGCACCTGCTGCAGACCGGCCTCAGCTCTGGGTTTCTCCCTTTGGTGAATCTGCACCTTTTGGAAGTGGAAGTCATCTTTCAGCGTCATTTTCATCAGAGTTTCTAGCTTTTCACAGCTTAGTGGGGGATGCTTCCCAATAGTGTGATGGCTCTAATGCTTTTCATTATAATCTCATCGCCTAACACTGGTGAAGAAGGAATCATGACGTGATTGCAACACACTTCAAGGAAGCCCACACCGTCTTCATGATGGAACATCACTCAGGGGCTTCTCAAACGTGGTGAGCAGCCTGGGTTCAATGTATATCACCTTCCATCACCTCCCTCCCCAGCCAAGGCCACGTCCCCTAACACACAATCAAACCCAAACCCCAAGGACACCACTGCTCTGGGACCCCCACCCTTCATCTCTCACCCCTTAAACTGTGCCATCAGCCCATCCACTGGCATCCTGGGTAACAATGTCCCACCCCCATGGACACCTCGCTCCCCCTCTGTCCCTCACAGATGCGTGGCCCCCCTCTGTACCCCACAGATGCCTGGACCCTTCTCTCCCACAGACACCTGGACCCCCTCTGTCCCCCACGGACACCTCAACCCCTCTGTCCCCGACGGACACCTGGACCCCCTCTGTCCCCCACGGATGCGTGGTTCCCCTATGTCCCCCACAGATGCCTGGACCTCTCTGTTCCCTGTGGACCACTGGCCCCACTCTGTCCCCCATAGACGCCTGGCTCCCCTCTGGCTCCCCCACCAAGGAGCAGGTATAATTTTTCTTGGCACAAAAATCCATGGCTGCTTTCAGGGCCACAGGGAGGGCATTGGAGGCCACGGAAGTGTGAGAGGCACAGGTGTGTGCAGGGAACACCTGTGGAACTGCTGTCCCAGCCTGCGACGGGGATGCTGCTGCCTCACCAGGAGTGACCCAGGTTGGCAGGTCGGGGATGAGCCCCCGTGGCTGTCCAAGCCCACCTGGTGAGAATGGAGCAGCCCTGGTTCCCTGAGCACCCCCTTCAGAGCTCCGGGTGGTCTCTAAGTACTGGCTGCTCGTCCATCCCCCCAGGCGCAGAAAGTGTCAAGGCACAAAACTCACTCATTGATGAGGGGAGCAGATTTTTGCTGCTGGGGGCCTAAGAAAGGAAGACGAGCTAGCGTCAAAGCTTCCAGCATTCAGGACGGGGCGACAAGGACTGTAGGCAACTCACAAAAACACAGAGGGTGTGCGGCAGGGGCTGCCCCTCCACCTGACTCAGTGTTGGAGACCCGACACCCTCACCTCCTAAACAGCCCTGACCAGAGGCATTTACCGTGTGCCCAAAAGAGACCGAATCGTCACAGGGACAGTGGGACAGCGGCCAGGCTGTGCAGGCCGCATCTCTGCAACGCGTCAGCCAGAGAAAGCCGGGGGCACCCCAGCCAGCACTCAGGAGGCCCTGCCCGTCCACACGACACCTGGGCCAACCAGCCCTTTCTGCTGTAAAACTTCGGCTCCTCTACCTGCCTGAGTCTTTGCCAAGCACGAGGGACAGTGACTGACCCCTCGTTCCCGCCAGCCTGAGTAAGTAGCCGCGTTTTCGCCTGGGTGGTCTGCAAGGTTCACCCACCTTCCAGGAGCCTCCGGAGTCTGGGGTGGAGGGGCTGCAGTACCCGAGCACGGCCGCTAGATGGCACGCAGGCGCGGTCTCGACCTGAATCCCCCGTGCGGGCACCTGCGCCCAGGGCTGTCCCTGCACAAGTGAGGGGTGAGGGGTGAGGGGCGAGGGGTGAGGGGCGAGGGGCGAGGGGCGAGGCGCGAGGGGCCAGGGGCCAGGGGCGAGGGGCGAGGGGGAGGCGCGAGGGGCGAGGGGCCAGGGGCGAGGCGCGAGGGGTGAGGGGTGAGGGGCGAGGGGTGAGGCGCGAGGGGCCAGGGGCGAGGGGCGAGGGGCGAGGGGCCAGGGGCGAGGGGTGCGGGGCGAGGGGCGAGGCGCGAGGGGCCAGGGGTGAGGGGTGAGGGGTGAGGCGCGAGGGGCCAGGGGCGAGGGGCGAGGCGCGAGGGGCCAGGGGTGAGGGGTGAGGGGTGAGGCGCGAGGGGCCAGGGGCGAGGGGCCAGGGGCGAGGCGCGAGGGGAGAGGGGCGAGGGGCGAGGCGCGAGGGGCGAGGCGCGAGGGGCGAGGGGCGAGGGGCGAGGGGCGAGGCGCGAGGGGAGAGGGGAGAGGGGCGAGGGGTGAGGCGCGAGGGGCGAGGGGTGAGGCGCGAGGGGCGAGGGGTGAGGCGCGAGGGGCGAGGGGCGAGGGCTCCCGGCCTGCGCCGCCTTGGATCCCACCAGCCCCGAATTCGGGCAGAGCGCCATGGAGGGCCCAGCCTGGAGGGGGAGCTCGGAGCCTGCAGCAGGTGAGGTCGGGCTACAGACTTCCCTCTGCCCCCTGGTCACAGAGGTGAGAGTGGGGCCTCATCCCAGTCCCGCCGCGACCCATGGGGCAGAGCTGCTGCCCTGGCCCAGGCACGCACAGCTTCTCAACAGCCACATCGCAGGCTGGCCCTGGCCTCCCCAACCAGAGACCAAGCTCCCAGGCTGCAGAGGCAGCGAAGGCCGGGACACGCACAGGGCAGCGGGCAGCCAGTGCCACGTGGGCTGAGGAGGCACTCCCTAACGGGAGACAGCGCCCAGCCAGGGCTGGTTTTCTCACCGTCATTGTCAAAGGCCTTTTGAGCATTTTCACACACACACACAAAGAAGCCGTTTAAAACAATAAAAGTGTAGTGCTGGGGAAATGATTAATGCATATATCTCTATTTCAAACCCGCAAAAGGAATCAAAACAAAAAGACCTTTAAAGAGACACACAAAAAGGTGACAGCATCGTGAGGTGAAGTCTGTGTGTGTGTGTACATGTGCACGTGTGTGTGCATGAATGTGTCACGTGTGTGCACGCGTGTACATGCATGTGATTTTGTTCACATGCATGCACATGTGGAGGGAGCGAGCTGCTCCCCTCCTCGCCGAGTGAGTTTTGTGCCTTGCCCGCTTCCTGTGCTCAGGGGGATGGACAAGCAGCCAGGATGTTAGAGGCCACCCAGAGCTCTGAAGGGGGCACTCAGGGAACTGGGGCAGCTCCGTTCTCACAGGGTAGGCTTGTGTGTGCTTTGTGTGCACGTGTGTGTGCATGTTTGTGTGTGCACATGTGTGCATGTGTGTGTGTGCGCATACCATCTCCCCAAGCCGCCTCCACCTGCACACACCAGCGGTGACCCGCCTCGGGGTCTGTCCTGTTTTGCCACAACAGCTGTAGAGAATGCCAAGCAGCTCAGCAGTGGTTCCCAAAATAAGACTGTTGAGAGCCCAGAAATAGCCCCCAGAGAACACTGTAAAAGCCCCAAGACAAGGAAAAAGTACACGAGCTTGTGACATGATGGTACAATGGCCTCAAGGAAATTGCAGCTTTGGAAAGAAACTTTATTTTCTGTCTTTTGAAACAAACCGACATCCTGTCCTCTGTGGAGACCCAGGCCCCGCTGAAGTGCTCTTTCAATTTGCTCTTTTAATTTGCTCTTTTAATTATTCTGAAAGGCCATCTGCTGTAAGAGTGCCTCCCTGATTTAAACTATGCCTCACACCCTCAAAACTTACACTTCAGCATTTTTTCCTTCCTTGCGTAATCTCAAAGCAAACAAGATTCAGAGAGGCTCACTTCCTGGGTAATGCAGGAGATGCCCTCCGAGGTAGGGACAGGGGCTTGTGCCCAATGTGGGGCCACTCTGCAGAGAACCACATGAGCTGCGCCCATCCAGGATGCTGCCAGGAGCCTGCATCCAGACACCCTCAGCGGTTGTGAACCAGCCCTCCCAGCGGCAGGACCCCCGAGCAGTTGTGAACCAGCCTCAGGGTTGCCCTCCAAGTGGCCAGGGGACAGGGCTGACATGAAGCAGGTCCTCAGATCGAGACCAGCTCTGGAGGCCCAAACAAACACTCCTCCTGTGCCCTGCACCCTCACCTTCCCTTCCAGAGAAATAGTGTGTCCTGCCCCAGCTCAAAATAGGGACAGCACAGGGCTCCACCCAGGAAAGCTGGGGGCCGAAATGTCATACCATTTGGGCAGGTCTGGGCCTGTCCTGCCACTCCCTCCCCACCCCCCAGTCACTCTGTGCCTCCACTTCCACATGACAACAACATCCCTCTCAGGGCTGAGTCTCCTCCCCTGCAGAGAAGATGCCTTGTGAGGCCTCTTGACCAAAAGAAACAGGAAACAAATACAGAATAAAAGTATAACAGTGAATAAAAACAGCTACATGCACACACAACTGTGCAAAGCAAAACAAAACAAATTGAAAAGCACAAGCAGGGTGCCACGGCCTGACAGTAACAATCAAACAGGAGGGTTTTCCAATGCCATGAACGTAAATCGAGGTGTGCATGATAACAAGGAGTAGGAACCGGAGGGACGGCCACTGAGGGTGGAACCAAAGCAGGGAAATGAGAGGATGATGAGTCCCCACTGATCCTGAGGCTGGGAAAATTTGCAGACTCGAAGATTCTGTAGTGCTGATACATCCACACATTCCATGGTCCTGAGGGACACTGTCTAGCTTACAAATCCATCTGTAACTGTTCAACCAGACTAGCAACCCGTCATTCATCATTCATAGGAGAATGCAAAATTACATCATGCACAAAGTGCTCCCCCATGTATCAACTGCATTTGAACAGATTTGTGTTTTCAAAACCAGGGTGGTAGCAAGATTGAGTATGCCCAGTAAATGCTAGATATTATTATCCCACTAGACACTGAAAACGGTCCCCTTTCCTGGGTTGTGTTGCTGGCCTTGCCACAGGCAATGCCGAGGGCAGCTGCCTCATCCTCCCCCACACTGTTGCCTCACCTGGTCACAGGTGGGAAGCCAGGTGGGGCTCGGTGAGTGTCTTCTAACTGTTTCTGCATTGCTAGAATGGGGTAAACAAAGAACAAAGAAAACATACATAAAGTACATTCTTTGTTCTGTTATTGCCGTTGTCAAAGTTAACTCTCTCTTCTTATTTTAGGGTTTATTTTTAAACATCATGCTTGCACATAGTTTGAAAAATCTAAGTCTGGTTGGGGAAATGAGCAAACCTCTAACCCACCTTTTCCCCACCCGCATTTCTACTCCCCAGAGGTAAGCACCCTCAACTCATTTAGCTGACTCTTGGTTTTCATCTCCATATCTCCACATGACACATTCACGTTGCCATTTCTCAGCTTTCAGATTTAGGATGTATCTATTTTCTGACTGCTACAGAAGATGGGCCTACCTCTCCATAACACATCACTGTTTCCAAGCTTACTTTCTCTTTCCCAGTTTAGTTACATTACAATTTTCATCAGATCAGTATTATGTGCTTACAATATTGTGACTTTGTAAATGCTATCCCCAACTAGGCTATGTAGTACGCTGTGACTAGTATTAATTTTTTTTCTTTTTGTTTTCCCTGGAGTTATAAATGTCTTATGTATTTGCTTAGTGTCCACAGTGTCTCTTCCTTTCACAGTGTCTTCTTGTTTTTCCTGGAGTTATACATGTCTTATGTATTTGCTTAGTGTCCATAGTCTCTCTTCATTTCATGCTGTCTTCTTCCATGTGGCTGTCAGGGCTCTTTCATTAGAGGCTTTCCATAAGTGTCCAGTGATCCTGGGATGCCTGCTCATATTTAATAAGGGGCACAAAGAGCTGATTTAGAATTGTGTCACCTGGTGAATTGTTGAAAGTGGGTGTCAGTATAGGAGACCCTGCTGAGCAGTTTCACTGGGAAAAATTTTCTCTATTTCTATTCCCACAGAAGCAGACCTGGAATAAGAAACAATTGTAGTTGGCCAGGTGTGGTAGTGCACACCTGTGATCTCAGTGTTTTGGGAGGCCAAGGCAGGAGAATCACTTGAGTCCAAGAGTTTGAGAACAGCCTGGGCCACAAAGTGAGATCTCTGTCTCTATAAAATCATTTTTAAAAATTAGCCAGGCATGGTAGCTCCTGCCTGTGGTCTCAGCTACTTAGGAGGCTGAGGCAGGAGGATTACTTCAGCCCAGGAGGTCAAGGCTGCAGTGAGCTATGATCAAGCCACTGCACTGCAGCCTGGGTGATAAAGCAAGATCCTGTCTCAAGAAAAGAAAGAAAAGAAAAGAAGGAAAAGAAACAAGGGAATGGAAGGGGAGGGGAGAGGAGGAAATTTTTAAAAGAAAAAAAGTGTGACAAGGAAGGTTGGGTTTCCAGTGAAAGGTGCATCACCAGCCAGCTCCTACTGCACCGGAACCATCCCATTCAAGGGGTGGTGTAGCTGAGGTATTTAAACGCTCACTCCTTGGCCGTCAGTTGGAGCTCTCCCAGCAAGGGGAGTGGGAAGCGGGACTCATTAGTCCCCAGGCACTTGCAGTCCCACAGGGAGCGAAGCTGGGAGGGGCGGCGAGTCTGCAGACCAGCACCAGTCTGGGTTTGCCAAACTCCCTGCATGCAAGAGATCTGCTGTGACCACACCTGCAGGGTACTCAGGCCACCTTTCATACTGGGGTGAGGAGAGGAAGTAAACGCTTTTCTCATGTAACAGATGCCTTTATGTCATCGTTAAAGCTGTGCTTTCTGACAGTCTTTAGAGGTTTTAATGAGGATGCCTAAACTTACGAGGCCCCCACAAACATCAAGAATTTTGCCAAAAGAAATGACGTAACTGATGGATATTTTTTGAAGACCAATGTCTTAGTCACTTTTGAACCAAGCAGATGCGCTACCCTATGTGGACAGGGCAGTCGTCATGCACAGAACCCATGCTGTCCCATCTCCCCCACACTCAGGCTGGAGCAGCATTCTGGCTTTGTTTTTGTTTTGCTTTATTGCTCTGTGTCTACCAGACACACAGCTCCTCAGAAACTGGACAGAAAGCCTCCTGACATCACCACAACAAAATCACAGCCATTAAGTCCAACGGGATTGCTTTATGGTGGCTCAAGCCCATTTCTCTGAGCTCCAAAGCCATCCTGACATCATTATGCTGCATCATTATGAAGCCAACACACATCTAACAAGAACACAAGATGCGCTTTGTCATCTCAGCTACGATTCTCCTTGGGGTGAAAGTGAGGGGCGCTGGGAGTTGCCCTCTTGCAGGTCCCAAGGCAGCATCTCCCCAGCAACTGAGACCAGCCTCAGCACAGGACACCGTGGTCCCAGCCACAAATGCAGACAGAGCCTCTCAGGCCAACCTCAGAGCCTCTCTGGAGTGCAGGCATCCTCTACACAAACGGAGGCAGCCCTGCTCCATGCCTGCCATGCAGCTGAGACGGATCCTCAGGACACGTCCTGCCTGCAGGTGAGCTCCTCAAACACCAACCAGCAGCCCCCGTCCCACCCCCCGCATTCCCCCAGATCCTGTAAAGAACATCCTGTAAAGAACCTCACGAGGAAAGCCGAGCAGACAGCAAACCCAGAGCTTCCCCGACTGCGGTGGGCCCTGCTCCGCCTCCTGTGGCCAAGGCCGCTCATCACCCAGGAACCGACACGCACGAGATGCAGAATCTAAAAGAGAAAGCGGCACCGCCACCAGCAAGCACAAGAGGGACGTGGGGCCTGATGACGGAGGCAGCAGTGATGCCTGCGGTGCCAGGGGCTCTCCGGGTTCCTGACCCTCTGACAGTTCACCTGGAAGGCGGGCTCCAAGCCCCTCAGACCCAGGCTCATCCCGTGAGCAAGGAAGGCTGTGTGTATGGAGGCTCCATCCCCTCGTTTGTTATTTTTACTGGGCTTCTTCCTCTTTTTCCAGCAGTGAAAAATCTTCAGAGACCTCCACCAGGGAGAAAATAGACCGGAAGCTCCTTCTCTGTGTTGCTGCCACCCAGGAGCCGCTGGACCCCAAGGGAGCAGCATGGAGGCAGAGAGACCTGGCCCAGCACAGAAGCGAAGCTGCCACGGGACGGCCCCACGGGTGCCAAGACACGATGGACCCCAAGGGAGCAGCGTGGAGGCAGAGAGACCCTGGCCTAGTGCAGGAGTGGGGCTGCCATGGGACAGCCCCATGGTTGCCATGACACACTGGGTCCCAGGCATTCTAGTGAAGAGCTGTTACCATAAGAGGAACTCAAAAAGGGAAATGCTAGTTTAATAACTAAATTCTTAGGAAGAAATGTCTTTAGTAAAATATCTTGATGATCTGATAATGCACAAAATTATTCCCGAGACAAAATTTGAAGGGGCTGAAAGGAAAACAAAAGGACGAATGGCTGGTAATTCCTAAGGGAGAAGCTGGGAAGACAGAGGGGCTCAGGGGACTGACGGCAGCCTGGAAACCAGCAGGTGCCCAGTGGAGGGAAGACAAAACGAGAGCAGGGGTGCCTGAATCCATAGAGATGTCCACACTGCCGCCCAGACCTCCCAGGCCTCTCTCCATCCAGACCGCCAGTCAAGTTCCCATCTGGGAAAGGGGGTCTGGCCGGTGCCCAGAGCCAGGGAGAGGTGGGAAACGGGGTGTGAAAGAGAGATGAGGAAAGGGGGTCTGACCGGTGCCCAGCAGGGTCAGGGAGAGGCGGGACACGGGGTGTGAAAGAGAGGAGATGAGGAGTCAGCACATCCAGCCACCCCCTCCAAACACACCTGGGAAAAGGGAGAACCCCGGAGGACAGCCCGGTGGGAGAGTGGCTCACAACAAGTCCACATACATCTTGTGGGACTCAGGGACCAGCCAGACACAGGACCAGGGTATACAGGTGCTGACTTTTGAGCTGTCCACGGCACTAGGAGGCACATGCCCCAGCACCTCCCCAAATTGGAAATCTGGGGGTACAACCTCTGTACACACATGCATTCCAGCTCGCAAATGAGCACCTGCCTCAGAGCTTCACCTTGACTCTCGGAGGTGGGGCTGGCTCATGCTGTTGGCCAGTGCACCCCACGCCCTCTTCTCTGCTAATTTTGCATCTGCACTGAATTTACGTTGGTGGGAGTCAGCGCCCTCCAACTCCATGGAGACAAGACTCTGCTGTGCACACTGCTGAGACTCCAATATCCCACGTGCCAGGGGCTTACTCCATATTTGGCAGATAAATTAAAGCCCCAAAATGCAGAGTCATCGATGAGTCTCCTTCCAATGCAGCTGTCCATGCGGCCTTGGGCAAGCCCTGCGATGTTCCTGCAGGGAAGGGAAGGTCTGGGTGTCTGCAGCTGTCGTGCCTGCTCTCCGGACCCTGCGCCCGCCCTAGAGGGATCCAAGGGCCATGGCCAGGCAGGGTGGTGTCATGGACAGCTCTGGTCCCACGGTGGAGGGACAGGGTGGTGGGGGCTCAACCCAGGCCAGGGACTGTCTGTCCCTTCCTGGCTTTGCCCAGCAGAAAGCAAAACTCTGATGAGGGAGAATCATGGGGTGCAGGGGCAGCAGGTCAGAAAAGAAAAGCCTCCTCTGTGATTCTCCACAGCAAAGGGACCCTTCCCAGAGCTGGCACTGAAAACCCATGAGCAGCCCCATCCCTTACAACCAAACACAGCTCCGTTTGCCTCCCACGGCTTCTTCATATGCTTCCCAGGGGGTTCATTCTCGCTCTGTTTGGAGACACCACAGGGTTTTGGTGAAAATCCCCCCACATTAAGGTCTGGACCACCTTCAAGCTGTGCACTTGGGAGGTTGAGCAGACAGAATGCACGTGGGCACGTGGCCAGAGAGAAACCTGCCCCATCAGGCCAGGGGAGCACATGTGAGCACCTCTGCCAGCAGACCCCTCACCAGCAGGAAGCCAAGTGAAAGACACAAACGCACCCATGCAGGCCCTGCCGTACTGATGTGAAAACGTAAATAACCAGAGCTGACCTGAAGAGCATGTCTCCACCAGGCTGCAGGCAGGAGTGGCAAGGATTCCACCCTGACATGCAGGCCCCACCCCAGCAACCCTGGACAGGCCCGGGCACAGGCCCAGCTGCCCTCGTTCTGCAACAGCTCCCAGGTAATCCTCATGGGCTCCAGGTTTGAGAATCGTGCCCGGAGCAAGCACATTTAGGCCCAAACCCCTGGGTGTGGCCTTTGTTACTCCAAGGGCCACTCTGGTGGCACGTCAATCACCACAGAGAGGTCACTTCTGTTCACGCTGCCTGTCGGACTGGAAGTGGGCTAAGGTGGGCAGCAGGCAGGCAGTGCGGCAGCCGGGACTGCGAGTGCCTGGGGTCTGAGGATCGCACACCAAGACCCACTCGGGGAGGGGTCCTGCACCCCCACTCTGAAAACTCCCAAAACCCCACGAGGCTGAATCTTGATTCCCCCAGAGTTCTGAAATTCTGATGCTGGGATGATGCACTTTGGAAAAAACCATGATGGCTGGAAAGGGGGAAATGAATATTTGCTTTATGCCTTTAGCTAGCACAAAAAGTCACCTAATTAAGGTAATGAGGTTTAAAATGTAGGGTAAAAGTCACAAGAAACACTACAATTCCATTTTTATAATTACTCATGTCCTTACCAAAGAAAAGGAAGTCCATTAGGACAGACACAAAAATGACACGAAGACGTTGTGGTGGGGGAATCCCAGCATGCGCAGTCTTTTCCTGGTGATTTGCAGCCTCTGGACTTTCTATAATAAAAGGTATCGCCGTGACAATAGGAGAGATCAACTTTACAAACATCGCTTAATCAGGACACACTGTGGCCCCAAGGCTTATAAGTGACCCTTTCACTGGACGTCACCAGAACACCTGTGTGCAGGGTGGGGACACGTGCTGGAGGTTTGTGCTGCTGTGTCACACGTGGGAAGACGTCAGACCTTTCCTGAGCCACTAGCCAGGAACACATGCGGACAGACTTTGATGGGAGGATGCTGAGGAGACAGAGATTCTGTGTGTGCCTTTGAAGGTTCTCCAGTTCAGGCATTAAAACCTCCTGCTGCAGGGGCTGTGGACCCCTTAACCTGCTGACCCCGGGGCAGGCGCTGAGGCCAGGCTGAGCCAGTCCACAGGATGAAGACACCAGGACCCGTGAGGACGGGGGCTCCCCAGGGGACGTGGCTTTGGGCAATTGCTGGCTGCATTCCTTAAATCCCTGTTTGGTTATATCCACCCCAACAACACCAGTCACTCGGGAGTCCTGTGCCAGAAACACAAGCCAGGGCCTGCAGTCCTCGGCCTCCAGCTCCCCAGCCTCAGCTCCCCGGCCCCCAGCTCCTTGGCCTCAGCTCCCGGGCCTCCAGCTCCCCGGCCCCCAGCTCTCCGGCCCCCAGCTCTCCGGCTTCCAGCTCCCCGGCCTCAGCTCCCCGGCCCCCAGCTCTCCGGCCTCCAGCTCCCTGGCCCCCAGCTCCCCGGCCCCCAGCTCCCCGGCCCCAGCTCCCCGGCCTCCAGCTCCCCAGCCCCCAGCTCCCTGGCCTCCAGCTCCTCGGCCTCAGCTCCCCGGCCCCAGCTCCCTGGCTCCCAGCTCCCCGGCCCCAGCTCCCCAGCTCCCAGCTCCCTGGCCTCCAGCTCCTCAGCCTCAGCTCCCCAGCCTCCAGCTCCTCGGCCTCAGCTCCCCGGCCCCAGCTCCCCGGCCCCCAGCTCCCCGGCCCCCAGCTCCCTGGCCTCCAGCTCCTCGGCCTCAGCTCCCCGGCCCCAGCTCCCTGGCCCCAGCAGGAGCTAAGTTGTTACAGGGTTTCCCCATCCACAAAGACAGCATCACGAACATCCACACCCCCTAGGATGCCTGGAGTCCACATCCTCCCGGGGTGCCTGGGAGATCTCTAGAATTCCTGGGTGTCACATCCCCTAGGATTTTGGGGTCCTAGCAATGCCAACACCTAGACGAAGGTCAGGCATGGCCACAGAGGCCACCCTAGCTATAGGAAAACTCTCTGAAAGCTTCGATGTTAGCTCCAAGCAGAGGCTTGGTCCAGGAGGGCTGAAATCCTCCCATTTAAAACCTCTGAAAATCTTGCCTTTCACAAACAGCCCCCTGGAGGAAATGTTTTTTTAGCATGATGCCTGATAAGGACACAACACAGAGCTGCAGCGTCCGACCGTCTCTCCTCCACACTGGAAGGGAACAACAAACAAAGCCTCCGCAAGCTTGCTAAGAAACGGGGCATGCACAACACTTTACTGCAGCAAGAGACGATTTATCCAGTTATGTGGTATCAGATATTTTTAATAACTACTTTTCTGAATCCAACCAAGATCCGGCCCTCTATACTCTTAATACAGTGAAACTTATCTGTGTGTGGAGCCTGCACTTGGAAAACTCGGAAAACCTTCCCAGAAGCAAAGTGAAATGCTGCATACCACGACCACAAGTGGCTTATCCATGCATGTGGCCGCACACTGAGATCCCGGTGGCTCATCCGTGAGACATGTGGCCACACACTGAGATCCCGCAGTGGCTCATCCGTGAGACACGTGTCCGCACACTGAGATCCCGCAGTGGCTCATCCGTGAGACACGTGGCCGCACACTGAGATCCCGCAGTGGCTCATCCGTGAGACACGTGTCCGCACACTGAGATCCCGCAGTGGCTCATCCGTGAGACACGTGGCTGCACACTGAGATCCCGGTGGCTCATCCGTGAGACACGTGGCCGCACACTGAGATCCCGCAGTGGCTCATCCATGAGACACGTGGCCGCACACTGAGATCCCGGTGGCTCATCCGTGAGACACGTGGCCGCACACTGAGATCCCGCAGTGGCTCATCCATGAGACACGTGGCCGCACACTGAGATCCCGGTGGCTCATCCGTGAGACATTTGGCTGCACACTGAGATCCCGGTGGCTCATCCGTGAGACATTTGGCTGCACACTGAGATCCCGGTGGCTCATCCGTGAGACATTTGGCTGCACACTGAGATCCCGGTGGCTCATCCGTGAGACATTTGGCTGCACACTGAGATCCCGCAGTGGCTCATCCGTGAGACATGTGGCTGCACACTGAGATCCTGCAGTGGCTCATCCGTGAGACATGTGGCTGCACACTGAGATCCCGGTGGCTCATCCATGAGACATGTGGCTGCACACTGAGATCCCGCAGTGGTGCTTATCTCAGGAAGGAAGAGCTGGTCATGCCTGGAGCCCCCTGCATCATCATCGGCTCCTTCCCCAGGGCAGGTGCCGCTCTGGAAGCCTCCCCAGTCTCTCCCGCGGACCTGAGTCCTGCTGCAGCCACTCGCTGGCATGTGACACTGACCATGCCCTGAGACCTGCCCTGTTCACACACCTCTAGAAGACTACCTCTCATCCCCATGCCACTGGATAAGTGGCTGACTGCCTCCTGGATACCTGGCTAAACTTCAAAAATGCTCCTGATTTTGTTTTTTTGTATTAGATTTGTGTTTCGGCTCATTTCGTTCCTCTGCTGTTATAAACAGACCCTGGATGACAGAGCTCCAGGATCACAGCAGGCACTCCAGGCAAATTGCTTTATCTCTCAACATGGAATCAGGAAAATGCTGTAAATACTGGACAAAGTCTGTCCTGCACAGGCCTCGCCCACAGCAAACATGGAGCTGCCAGCCCTGAACAATGAGCAAGGCTGAGCGTGCTCAGGCTGTCAGCAAGGAACCCTCCAGGGAGACCCAGCAAGAGAACCAACATCCGCCTGTGAGGAGGTCGGGCTGCAGACAAGCCCAGCCCTGGGTCCTGCGTCCTGGGTCCTGGGTCCTGCGTCCTGCGTCCTGGGTCCTGGGTCCTGGGTCCTGCGTCCTGCGTCCTGGGTCCTGGGTCCTGGGTCCTGGGTCCTGCGTCCTGCGTCCTGGGTCCTGGGTCCTGGGTCCTGCGTCCTGGGTCCTGGGTCCTGGGTCCTGGGTCCTGGGTCCTGGGTCCTGCGTCCTGGGTCCTGGGTCCTGGGTCCTGCGTCCTGGGTCCTGCGTCCTGGGTCCTGGGTCCTGCGTCCTGGGTCCTGGGTCCTGGGTCCTGCGTCCTGGGTCCTGCGTCCTGGGTCCTGGGTCCTGGGTCCTGGGTCCTGGGTCCTGCGTCCTGGGTCCTGGGTCCTGCGTCCTGCGTCCTGGGTCCTGGGTCCTGGGTCCTGCGTCCTGGGTCCTGCGTCCTGCGTCCTGCGTCCTGGGTCCTGCGTCCTGCGTCCTGGGTCCTGTGTCCTGGGTCCTGCGTCCTGGGTCCTGGGTCCTGCGTCCTGCGTCCTGGGTCCTGGGTCCTGGGTCCTGCGTCCTGGGTCCTGGGTCCTGCATCCTGCGTCCTGCGTCCTGGGTCCTGGGTCCTGGGTCCTGCGTCCTGCATCCTGCGTCCTGGGTCCTGGATTGAGACAGAAGACCCTGGGCCGCTCAAGCAGAGCCCGGCTGCAGCCCCAACCTGGAATCCGTCCTTGCCACGAAGCCGATGTGGAACCATCGCCGTGCTCAGTGGAGGGACCATGAGTTCATGGCGTGATTAGCTGGGAGGTTTGGAAACAGCAAAAGCAAAAAGGCATCTCCCACAATGTCCAGTGACTCAAGTCTACAGAGCTTGTGTGCAAATTCCCTTAAAGTCCCTCCTCATCTTCAGAAGATATCCAATGACTCAAGTCTATGGAGCTTGTGTGCAAATTCCCTTAAAGTCCCTCTTCATCTTCAGAAGTTGAAATAGGAAAGGAAAAGGCAACACTTAGACCAAATGCTGAAGTCAACGTGACATGTAGGATGTGATTTGTTAAGTTACACTGACATCTGGTGGCCTTCAGTGTTAGAAGAGAAACACACGAGATCCTGTGATCTGAAACACACATGATCAAATGTGCCTTTGCATTTTCTTTGGTATTGAAAGCAGACAACACCAGAGGCAGCATTAAACATTAATAAAATCATGAATAAATTAATAAGAACACCACTATGCATATTTTTCAATTTAATAAGCCAAAAGTATAAAGGATGATTTTCTTCTTCCTAGGCCAAATCTTCTTAAGGAGCAGATTACAGTAGCTTTCTCTACAGTGGAATTTTTCAAATAGACTTTTAAGAGAAGAAGAGGAAGAAGAAGAAAACCGTCACCACTGTGTATCAGCCCGGAGGTGGGTCCCTGCCTGTGAGAACTGCACGTGGTGGACTCATACTGCATCTTCAGAGGAAGCAGATGTTCATTACTTATTTCCAGAAAATGACATTTATTACTGTGTTGCAAAATCAAAATCATAAAACAAGCAATTTGATGGGCTCAGAAAAAGTCCAAATGATAAGAAAAGGTAAATTGCATAATATAAATAAGGTGTTTCCTCCGTGTTTGCAGAAATACACCAAACGTGTGACCACCCTTCGTGACCGGACTACAGCAATAACTAAGCCAGTGGGGTAGGAAGGAGAATCGGATCAAAAGTTCACATTTTGATCAACGTCACATATGCTTGAGATAAAACGCTGCTAACGTCAACACTGGACTCACCCCAGTCATATTAACATTGACACGACTCACCCCAGTCATATTAACATTGACACCAAACACAGCCTAAAACTCTGTTACCACAAACATGACTTAAACGATACAAAGTTAACCTCCATATTTGCTATACATTCTAGTAATGACTTTGCTCTCCTTAATTAAAAAAAAAAAAAAATCAAAAGATCATCCTCCCAGACCAGATTCCAAGCTCAGTGCTTTATGTACACAATCATATCATTTTCGTAACACCCTGAAAGTTCTGTTTTCATTCATGAGAAGCCCCCGCAGGTAATGCTTGGTTTACGTTAATGAGTAGATGCAGACTGCAGTGCATCTACTCATTTGGGGCTCACCTGGGGCCTCACCTCCAAAGGGGCTCCTGGAGATGGCAGATCCTGTGGGGCCCACGCTGACCTCTGCAGCCAGAAGCCAGCCATTGCCTGTGTTCAGGGCTGGCCCTGGCAGCATATGGGGAGATGTGTGCAGGAGCAGGCAGTGAGCAGGCTGGGGAGGTGGGCAGTCCTCAGCTTAGGAGAGGACCTACCCAGGCATAAGCGTGGACCTACCCAGGACCTACCCAGGCATGAGCGTGGAGAGGGCACAGAAGACCTGGTCAGTCTGAGGAAGGAAAGAGTGGCTGCTGCTAACAGATAGAGTCAGGTCAATTTCCCCAGGGCTGCCTTCTGAAGCTGGTTTCCATGTTATGAACATGCCTGAAAAGGACCGTGGTTAAAGCAGCTCAAACTCCGGCAGGAGAATTTACGAAGCATCCAAGCCCCTCCTCTATGTGAACCAAAGGGTGGCTGTGAGGGTTCCGGGGGTCTCTAACAACAGAAAACCTCCACTGGCTTTCAACCTCACCTGCCAGGGAAGGGGCCAGGTAGGGATCGCGCAGGCCCCCTCAGACCCTCGCTCTGAAGAACAGGTGCCCTCACAGAGCATGCCGACATTCAGAACTGTCCTGCAGAATCTGGCAAGTGTTTTAAGAATTGACATAAAGAGCTGAGAAGATGTGTTGACGTCGCCTCTCAAAAAATCTGGCTTTAAAAAATAATAATAAAGCTAGTGTTTTTTTGAGCAGCTTCCATGAACTTGCCTTCCAAAGTTTTCTGAAAACTTGAGAAGATGGGGTGTGCCCCCACAGCCCCAGCTGCCTGAGGTTCGCTGAACAGCCTGGGTGGCTCCGAGGCGTCCCCGCAGATTCAGCCTGATCACTCCTTCGGTTTCCTCCTACGGCTGCAGGCAGACCTGGAGTTCATCCGGGTGACCTCCACAGTCTCTGGCCACCTTCCCTCCATTTAAGAAAAAGAAAAACAGCCCATGTCTGAGCCACCTCCCCAAACCCTCTCTGCCTTCAAGCATCTGACAAGCTACCCTCACCACACAAGGCCCGCTCCCTCTCTAGAGAGCCTCTCCCGACACCAAAATGTCAACCTAACACGACACTCAGGACACAGCTGTCATCCCGAAGGCAGGAGATGTGGGGGAAAGGACACAGAATGAGGTCACGATGCCAGAGTCACCCTCGTCTCATCCCCGAGTACCCAGGTGACTACAGACAGGAGAATTAATCTCCTTCTCGTGGGATGAAGTGACAGAGTAGACACCTGTGAGCCCACTTCCAGCTCCAGTTAAGGTTTCCTCTGGCCCTGAAGTTCTGCGACTCTGAGGCATGTGGGGTGACCAAGGGCAGAGGCTCCCAGTCTGTCTCAAACTACAGGCTTTGAGCAAGGTGAGCCTCCCTAAGCTTCGGTTTCCCCAACTTCGGTAAAGTGAAATAACAAAACCACGAGTGGCTCTTAACTTCTCTGGGAATGTCCAGCCAGAGCCTCGGAATGTAACTACGTGGAAACAGGGTCCTCGCAGACCTCATTATTGAAGGACCTTGAGGTGAGATCATCTGGATCCAGGGTGGGCCCTAAATGTAGTGATTGACGTCCCTGTAGGGAGAGGAGAAGACACGGAGACACAGGGAAGGGGTGTTGGTGGAGTCACGGGTGGGAGGCCCCGGAGGGACAGTGCAGACAAGTGCCCAGGTGACCCCAGACACGGAGACACAGGGAAGGGGTGACGGGACAGTGTGCTCATGGGGTGGGAGGCCCCGGAGGGACAGGGTACACAAGCACCCAGGTGACCCCAGACATGGAGCGTGAGTAGGAAATTCACTTGGTGGTGTCAGGCCACAGAGATCCGGACAGGCTGGGCTGCCCCTGCGAACCCGGGGCCCTCTCCTCCCTGGCACAGCCTTATTTTCACTCCTGCAGCTCCCGAGAGGAGGCCTCGCTCTTCCACCTGTTTCTGTGTCATGGGACCCTTCACAGAGCAGGCACTCAAAACCCATGAGCACCCCATCCCTTACAACCAAACGCAGCTCCGTTTCTGCCTCCCACGGCTTCTTCACACGCTTCCCAGTGGGTTCATTCTCCCTTCCCCACGTAAAGATGTGTGCAGCCACAGCTTTCCGGCCACCTTGAAATGAGGTGACATCTCCAGTCGCTTCCCGTGATGAAGTGCGGGGCCTGGCACTGCGCACTGCTGCCCCTGCTGGGTCCTCACAGCTCCTTCAGCAGCCTCTGGGGTCTCACCTCCTGGTCCCCTGGGCCCTTGCACATGCCCGGCCACCACTCTCTGGTCCCCCCAGCACTCACGGCTCACCTCCTGGGAGCCAAGGCACCTGCAAGTCCTGCTGTCGTCCCGGGAACAGGGGTCCCCTTCCCGTGGGAGATGGGATCCCCCAGGTAACACAGCCAGTCAGAGGGCAGCATCAGAACTCACTCGCTGTCCTTGTCTACACTAAGCACTCAACTTCAAGTTGGGAAACCTGGGTACCAAGCAGCCAACCAACGCCAATGGAGGTGGAAGGCGCCGCCCCGCGGCACTCACACCCGCCTCAGATGGGAGCATGGTCTCAGGGGCCAGGGCCCAGGTCTTATCCAGACTCAGCTGCTCTGTGACCCAGGTCAGTCACTGGCCTTCCTCCCGGGCTGCTTCTCTGTGGCTCAGGGGACAATAGGCCCATCTCGTTAGGCTGCCGTGAGGGTGAAATGAGGCTGCGCACATGAGACTGGGGCTGAGAACATGCGTGGGCCAAGAACACACCTGCCAGGGCCCATCGCAGCACCCTCATCAGCTCCAGGGCCCATCACAGCACCCTCCTCAGCTGCAGGGCCCATCACAGCACCCTCCTCAGCTCCAGGGCCCATCCAGTGCCCTCCTCAGCACCAGGGCCCATCCAGCACCCTCCTTAGCACCAGGGCCCATCTCAGCACCCTCCTCAACACCAGGGCCCATCTCAGCACCCTCCTCAGCACCAGGGCCCATCCAGCACCCTCCTCAACACCAGGGCCCATCTCAGCACCCTCCTCAGCACCAGGGCCCATCTCAGCACCCTCCTCAGCACCAGGGCCCATCTCAGCACCCTCCTCAGCACCAGGGCCCATCTCAGCACCCTCCTCAACACCAGGGCCCATCCAGCGCCCTCCTCAGCACCAGGGCCCATCTCAGCACCCTCCTTAGCACCAGGGCCCATCTCAGCACCCTCCTCAACACCAGGGCCCATCCAGCGCCCTCCTCAGCACCAGGGCCCATCTCAGCACCCTCCTCAGCACCAGGGCCCATCCAGCGCCCTCCTCAGCACCAGGGCCCATCTCAGCACCCTCCTCAGCACCAGGGCCCATCCAGCACCCTCCTCAGCACCAGGGCCCATCTCAGCACCCTCCTCAGCACCAGGGCCTATCTCAGCACCCTCCTCAGCTCCAGGGCCCATCCAGTGCCCTCCTCAGCACCAGGGCCCACCTCAGCACCCTCCTCAACACCAGGGCCCATCTCAGCACCCTCCTCAGCACCAGGGCCCATCCAGCACCCTCCTCAGCTCCAGGGCCCATCCAGCGCCCTCCTCAGCACCAGGGCCCAGCTCAGCACCCTCCTCAGCACCAGGGCCCATCCAGCACCCTCCTCAGCTCCAGGGCCCATCTCAGCACCCTCCTCAGCTCCAGGGCCCATCCAGTGCCCTCCTCAGCACCAGGGCCCATCTCAGCACCCTCCTCAGCACCAGGGCCCATCCAGTGCCCTCCTCAACACCAGGGCCCATCCAGCGCCCTCCTCAGCACCAGGGCCCATCTCAGCACCCTCCTCAGCTCCAGGGCCCATCCAGCACCCTCCTCAGCACCAGGGCCCATCCAGTGGCCTCCTCAGCTCCAGGGCCCATCCAGTGCCCTTCTCAGCTCCAGGGCCCGTCTCAGCGCCCTCCTCAGCTCCAGGACCCATCCAGCACCCTCCTCAGCTCCAGGACCCATCCAGCGCCCTCCTCAACATGGCTCCCTTCCCTCTCGCCACTGAGCAGACTTGATAACAGATGCAAGCTCGTTCCAGACCCACAAGAAAATCCACAGCAAGACAAATTTTGTGCCAAAGTTGGGTTCAAGATCAAAAACAATCCTTTGTATCTCATTTGTAATAAGTCGTAGGGGCTCACGAGAAAAGGAAAGATAATTCAATTTTGAATGTATGTTTACATTTCCTAAACAGCTCACTTAGCATCTGAACCCGAATGCACACAAAAAAATAAAACATTGTCTTTAAGGAAATAAAATGCAGTGGGCCTAACATGGCCCCCAATTGGCCAAGTCCTCTTCTCAACTAGGAAACTGGCCACTGTCCACTCTGGGCCTGTGACTAACACAGATGAGGATCTCTTGTCCTTAACCTTTTCCGACTCCCCTCCCAGAAGATGGCAGGGCTCAAGAGGCCTGAACGGGAAAGCCCCGTGTGGGCTCCATGGCGACCTCAGCAGGCGAGCCCACCCCTCTCCCGGGAGGACTAACAGTGGGAAGACTTCTGTGGGTGGGAGATGAGGACCCCAGTCTCTCAGCCTGGTGTCTGTAAAACTAGGAGAACGGGCCCATCCTGCGGGTGCTGGGGAGCCTGTGGGACACACAGGAAGCACTTGTGTGTCCAGGCCCAGCGGTCCTGACCCAGCCTTTTCAGCTCAACCTGGGCCACCCTTAAACATGGAGGCAAGGGCCAGGTGTGATGGCTCACGCCTGTAATCCCAGCACTTTGGGAGGCCGAGGCAGGTGAATTACCTGAGGTCAGGAGTTCGAGACAAGCCTGGTCAACATGGAGAAACCGTGTCTCTACTAAATCACTTGAACCTGGGAGGCGGAGGTTGCAGTGAGCCGTGATCGTGCCACTGCACTTCAGCCTGGGTGACAGAGACAGCCTCTATCTCAAAAAAAAAAAAAAAAAAAAAAAGGAAGCAAGGGGATTCCTAGTGTTCCAGCAGGGGGAGAACTGTGGTTCTAGCAAATCCTCTACCAAGTGAGTACCGTGCACTTCCAGAGCGTAGGGAATCAGGTGCTCAACCCCGAACGGCCCATAGCAGAGCTCTCCCGATGATGCAGGGCACACCAGGAGTGAGGACAGCAGCACTAAACCATGAGGTTAAGACAAAGGGGCTGACAGGGAGCAGTCACCTGTGAGAATTTAAAGAGCAGAATTAACGGGCTGGAGCATTAAGCCCCAAAGGACGGATCCAGGAGGGTGCCCGGGCGGTTAACAATGGCTATTCAGGCCTAAGAAGGAAAGAAATAACCTTAAAATAGAATCCCATCCCATCCTCCTGGACCAGATTTCACTACAGTAATTGCATCTGTGAGGAAGAGAGCTGCAAAGGAAATTAGATGTTCTCCGGGCTCAGCTGTAAGTCATACATCAGAGCCACCCACTGAGAATTCCCATTAGGAAGAAGCTGGCACGAGCTCACATGCGGGCTGGAGGCCGCCCCCGCTTCCACGGCCCAAAAAGCTGTCCCCACCGAGGTCCTCGATCTGGCATAATTGCCGGCATTGTGCCGTGCCTCCCGCCCTGGCCACATCAATGTGGCTCATTCTTCGAGGCTCCACTGAACGCTGGGAGCTGTGTTGAAAGTGGGGGAGGGGCATCCACTGATGAAGCTTCCGGAGCATCTCCATCCAGCCAGCTCCCTCACACCAACTGAATGAGCCAGCGTGCTGTAAGGAAAACACTACCAGTCATCCACATGAGGAGGGGCGGGGGAAGGTACCTCTGCCTGGGACAAAAGCCTGCAAGGAAAACAGGAGCTGAGCACTCCAGCCATAATACAACCAGCTACTTTCCTGATGATACAACCAGCTACTTTCCTGATGATACAACCAGCTACTTTCCTGATGATACAACCAGCTACTTCTCTGATGATACAACCAGCTACTTCTCTGATGATACAACCAGCTACTTCTCTGATGATACAACCAGCTACTTCTCTGATGATACAAACAGCTAATTTCCTGACCTACCAAGAGGCCAGAAACCACACCTCAACTCCCTGCTTCCCAATTAATCTTTACTCTGCAGTCCCCACTCTGGGCCCCAGCGACAGTATTGGTGAAGAGACGCAAAGCTGATGAATGACGTCAAACAAACAAAAACAACCTGTAGCAGGTGGCTTCAAGAAACCCTCCTGCTTTCCTTCCTCAGGGGAGAGAGCCAGCAGCCTTGCTGCCTGGGTTTGGAAGGGTCACCCCAGGCCCTACCCACCATCCTCTCTAAGCCCCCACCAGCTGCTTCAGCCCTGGATGACACTGGACACCACCTGGGACCCTGAAAATGCAGGTGCCTGGGCCCCACCTCCACCAGATTCAGATGTCACTGCTCCGGAGTGCGGCCTGCTTACCAGACTTATCTGAGCACTCCCAGCTACTGTGGATGTACAGAAAGGGTTTAGAACCATGGGCCCATTCTACCAACAAGAACTGCATATACCACGGGCCCCGCCTCAGAGTTATTGTTGAGGACTTGTCCCCCCACCCCACCCTACAATGGCTCATTAATATCCCATACACGCAAATCCTCGTCAAAGACCCTCAATGAAGTATGCAGGCCACCCATGCCTCTTCCTCATTCAATTGATAAATGAGAAAGTTTCTTAAGGAAAAATTAAACAAATCAGGTGATTTAGCCTAGTTTTAGTCACTAAGAAGGGACTTCAGAGTAGTTCATAAATTGTCTCTAAGGATTTTCAATACCAGAGCATTCCTCAGAGGGCTGGGTGGTCCCCTAGAAGCCCCTGCCACCCCTGTGTCTGCTGTGGCTGGGGCTCCACATCCCCATGACGTGTCTGGTGGCAGCCACCACAGTCCTGTCTCTTCTAGGAATCTAAGTGTTAGGTTCTGGTTTCTTCTCTTCCACATCCACCTTTGGTGTTGGTTTCAGAAACAGCAAATCCTACAATCCACGGTTCCCAAGCCTGACTGCACACCTGAACCATCCCTAAATACTTTCCACACAGGTGCCTTCCCTGGGCCCCATGCACTGGAGGAAGCCTTCTGTGAAGGTCCACTTTGGGGCCCAGGAATGGGAATCCAGCTTCACTCCATAGTCAGCCAGGCTTGGGACAACTGTGGTGGATGATCTGATTGCATCCGACTGTCCTCCCTTGCAGGCCCAACCCACAGGGATACATGGCCAAAGTTTAGATATGCACCCCCAGCCCCCAACCACACAGTCCAGATTTCAATTACATGGCATGTTAACCGAGTAACTACATAAAGTACAAAGTGTGCTGCCAGGTGTAGGCAACAAACCACCACATGTTAACAGCCATGTGGGATTGGTGGCTGCATGGGGATTGGCCAGGGTGCCTGTCACTCAGCTCAGCACAGACAGCAAAGCATGGAGCTGTGTGGCCACATCATCTCCCAGGGAGAAACCAAACAACATTTCGCAGAAGTGAATTATCAGAAGAAAGAACAGACAAACAAAGATATAAGTGCACCAGAGAATGAAAAGGGATGGTGCTGGAAGTGAAATTCCAAAGAAAGGCCAGGGGGCAGGAAACAGACAGCCTGCTGGGAAACATAGACTGGCTACCATGTGGGACACTCACGGTGCTGCAGGAACCTAAGGAAGGCAACTCATCCGCACACAGCAGGGAAGTGGCTGTGAGGGAAACGATGATATCCAGGGGAAATGGGGCAATAAGACCTTCACAGTAAAGGGACACTCAGAGGCACTTCACCACCACAAAATGGCAAAGCACAAAATGTTGGAGGGCAATCCAGACTCAGAAAGGGATTGACACTCAGCAAGCCATGGGGAGAATGCTCACAACTATCACAGCCTAGACAAGGATTCAAGTGCCACACACACTACATCGAGATGCTCTACCTCTCACTGTCCCCCTGTGCTAAGTCACAGTGCACTACATCAAGATGCTGCAGCTCTCAGTGTCCCACTGTGTTAAGTTGTGGTGTACTACATCAAGATGCCGTAGCTCTCAGTGTCCTGGTGTAAGTCACAGTGTACTACATTGAGATGCTGTAGCTCTCAGTTTCCCTGCTGTGTTAAGTCACAGTGCACTACAACAAGATGCTCTAGCTCTCAGTGTCCTGCTGTGTTAAGTCATGGTGTACTACATCGAGATGCTGAAGCTTTCAGTGTCCCACTGTGTTAAGTCATGGTGTACTACATCGAGATGCTGAAGCTTTCAGTGTCCCGCTGTGCTGTCATGGTGTACTACATCGAGATGCTGTAGCTTTCAGTGTCCCGCTGTGTTAAGTCATGGTGAACTACATCGAGATGCTGTAGCTTTCAGTGTCCCGCTGTGTTGTCATGGTGTACTACATCGAGATGCTCTAGCTCTCAGTGTCCCACTGTGTTAAGTCATGGTGTACTACATCGAGATGCTGCTGTAGCTCTCACTGTCCCACTCTATTAAGTCATGATGTCCTACATCGAGATGCTCTAGCTCTCAGTGTCCCACTGTGTTAAGTCACGGTGTCCTACATCGAGATGCTCTAGCTCTCAGTGTCCCACTGTGTTAAGTCACGGTGTACTACATCGAGATGCTCTAGCTCTCAGTGTCCCACTGTGTTAAGTCACGGTGTACTACATCGAGATGCTCTCTCAGTGTCCCGCTGTGTTAAGTCACGGTGTACTACATCGAGATGCTCTAGCTTTCAGTGTCCCGCTGTGTTAAGTCACAGTGTACTACATCGAGATGCTCTAGCTCTCCGTGTCCCCCTGTGTTAAGTCATGGTGTACTACATCGAGATGCTCTAGCTCTCCGTGTCCCACTGTGTTAAGTCATGGTGTACTACATCGAGATGCTCTAGCTCTCAGTGTCCCACTGTGTTAAGTCACGGTGTACTACATCGAGATGCTCTAGCTCTCAGTGTCCCGCTGTGTTAAGTCATGGTGTACTACATCGAGATGCTCTAGCTTTCAGTGTCCCACTGTGTTAAGTCACGGTGTACTACATCGAGATGCTCCAGCTCTCCATGTCCCGCTGTGTTAAGTCATGGTGTACTACATCAAGATGCTCTAGCTCTCCGTGTCCTGCTGTGTTAAGTCACGGTGTACTACATCGAGATGCTCTAGCTCTCAGTGTCCCACTGTGTTGTCATGGTGTACTACATCGAGATGCTGTAGCTCTCCGTGTCCTGCTGTGGTAAGTCATGGTGTACTACATCGAGATGCTCTAGCTCTCCGTGTCCCGCTGTGTTAAGTCATGGTGAACTACATCAAGATGCTCTAGCTCTCAGTGTCCCACTGTGTTGTCATGGTGTACTACATCGAGATGCTGTAGCTCTCAGTGTCCCGCTGTGTTAAGTCATGGTGTACTACATCGACATGCTCTAGCTCTCCGTGTCCCACTGTGTTAAGTCACAGTGTACTACATCGAGATGCTGTAGCTCTCCATGTCCCGCTGTGTTAAGTCACGGTGTACTACATCGAGATGCTGTAGCTCTCCGTGTCCCGCTGTGTTAAGTCACGGTGTACTACATCAAGATGCTGTAGCTCTCAGTGTCCCCCTGTGTTAAGTCACGGTGTACTACATCGAGATGCTGTAGCTCTCAGTGTCCCACTGTGTTAAGTCACGGTGTACTACATCAAGATGCTGTAGCTCTCAGTGTCCCACTGTGTTAAGTCATGGTGTACTACATCGAGATGCTCCAGCTCTCAGTGTCCCACTGTGTTAAGTCATGTTGTACTACATCAAGATGCTGTAGCTCTCACTGTCCCACTGTGTTGTCACAGTGTACTACATCATTGTCAGACTCACTGTTTTCATTTCCATACACACTTAGATTATAAGAGTTTGTAACGTTTTCACAACATTACAGGTCATGAAACAATCCTCATTTTCCTATAAGTTATTCCAGTGGCTCACATAGTCCTTGCCACTTCTCCTTCACCATGCAATGAGGTACAACCTGGTATTGGTTTTGTGCTTGACTCTGACCCTCTTGCCATCTTTTGTAAGGTTCTGTGTTTAAATATTGCATTTCAGGCAGCTGTGGTGTTGCCAGCCTTGAGGCAGGGTTCTGGAGCCTGAAGACATGTGTCCTTGGCAGTAACCTGTGTGTAGACCCACCTTTCTGAAATTAGACCCAGATGCTATCTCAAAGCTAAAAGTCATTTTCTTGACATCAAGCATTTTTGGCCTGGAAAGCTCCATTTTAGAAAACGGCTGTTTTGCAAACATTATATAAGCTGTCACCAGCAAGAATTCCGTCACTGCAAGAATTCCTTCACTGCAAGAATTCCATCATTGCAAGAATTCTGTCACTGCCGTAATCACTCATCAGAGACTGAGGAAGTCTCAGTCAAGTGCACGGGGCCTCGGGACTCTCGGAGGTGCCCAGCTCCACAGACCCTTCCACATGGGAAGGCAGCAGAGTGGCTGCTCTCTTTCCCATTCCCTGCTCTGGGAGTGTCAGCCCTGACTCACACAGCCCTCCTTCCATGTCACGCCAGGAGCCTCACCACGCAGCACTGCAGCTGGAATGAGTGAAATACCTGATGGAGGACTTGGAGAAGAGAGTCGAATTCACAAGCCTCCAGCACTCGGTGTGGCCAGCATTCACCACTCAGGGATTTCTAAGATCACACGTGATGTCTGACCGGACTCAGAAGCTCACACGTGATGTCTGACCGGACTTGGAAGCTCAGCACTTCGTTATTTTATTATCTCCAAATCCAAAAGAAGTGGCAGTCATTACTTCAAAGCCCACTCCTGAAGGAAAAGGCCCACTGACACCAGTGCTGGTGATGCAATCCACCTATGTTAGCATTGGACCCCGAGCTGTGCCTGAACCTCGGTGCCTGCATTCTTTACTCAACAGGCATCTGTTGAAACTCTGTCATGTTGGCCACTGTTACAATCTTGTGCACAGGACCTGACCCCTAAGGTCTCCAGAGCTTTGGGGCATTTTATCAGAGGTTCCTGCCACATTTGTGTCCAGCACAACAGTGAGTAAAGAACTGGGAACATGTTCTCCCTCCCAATTCCTCCCGTTTTCCTTCCCAAGGCAGGCAGGACACATTGTCTCACGGCGAGCTGGCCTTACCCTGAACTCAGAGCATCAGCACCCCAAAGCTGCAGTGAGGAGGAAGAGACTGCCCACCCGCGAAAAGGCCCCTCAGTCTTCAGCCAACACCACAGGCACAGCTTCAGCCCTCTGACTCTTGCTGACCACGGGTTACCTTGGATCTTCTCTCCTTTGAGGGCAACTGAGCCACATTTGGCTCCTTTCAGAACATAGAATCTTGGCTTTGTCTTTTCCTGGGCTTGGGGTACCTGGGACTCCAGCTTCAGGCACAGGGTCCAGCACACATTCCTTCTTCTTCACCAAAAGCCAATGAGATCAGCATAGTTGCAAAGCTGCCTTATGTTTTTAATGAGAAGAGTTATTTACAAAAAGAGATGGCTTGACAAATATCGTGCATAAGCAATCCCACCAGTGCGCATTGCCCCTGAGTTCCCTTCCCTCTGAGACCCAAGCTGTCATGGCTGTGAGCCATGCAGATGAGGTCCTCCTTGTCATCCTAGTGGGCTTCCCAGAAGATACTCCCCATCATCCGAGTGGGCTTCCCAGAAGATAATCCCAGTGACTGAGTGGTTCCTGCCTCCCTTCTCCGGCCACATTTGTGAAATATGTAAGCAGCATGTCTTCCATGGAAGCGGGGATGAAGTGACGGCTCGGAGTCAGTTTCCTCCGCGTCCCTGTTGATGAGACGTGGCAGTTGCATGAGGGGCAGGTCACAGGCGGTTGTGGCTTACAGACGCCCTGGGTTCCAACAGGGCCTGACAGAGATGTCCAATTCCAGGGATCACCTTCCCATTCTTGATCGGACCCATAACATCTTAGAAAGCACAATATACTCAGTTCTGCCCATGTCATCCTCTGCTCAAGTATCTGAGTTCAAGGTCATTTCTGGACTGAGGATTCCCGTACCCCATTAGACGTGTGTGGCTCAGATCTTCAGTCCAGGCTTTGGAATCGAGGGCCAGCCGCACCCCTTGTTGCTCCCATTCTGGCTGGTGGTCCCCTGGTGCACCTGTCATGTCCTGCACAGCTCTCAGGCCTTTGGTTGAAAAGCTGACTGGAATCACACTTGAAAAAAGAGCTCAGCCTGTGGATATTAGTGACACCCACCCTGGTAGGAAATGAACATGTAAGGCTGAGTTTGTTTCTTGGAGTTTTCCTATTTATTTTAAAGTTGGGGTGACAAGCACTGGGTTTTTGAACACTGAGCGGAGGGCAACGTTTCATTATTTATGCAAAGTGCATCGACAAAGCGACATTGAAAGTTTTTGCCATATTTTCCTCTTTGTAGTTTCTCCAAGTGAGATATGTCAAGAAGCAGCTTTCCTGTGATGTGCCTCAGAAATAAATGGAAAGAAAGAAACGCAGCAGATGGCTTGGATTAAATCTGAACAGTGATAAGTTCTGCTTTTAGGACAGCTGGGTAATGTACTCTTTGCTCAAAAACATGTTTGATTTGAAACACAAAAACAATCTTATGGTTTCCATGAAAATGAAAGAAAAATGAAGCTGAATCGTGGAGTAAATTGCTAGTTTTCTCCGCAGCATGTTCTGGGCTGCTTTGGGAGCCATATGCTCTGTTTGATGTAAATGAGATGGAACTGAAATTAAAAAGTTTTACATTTAAAAGTAGTGACCAAACCTATTCATCAATGCCTTTGGGCATTCTAATAAAGAATTTTTATTAGCCCTAAGGTTTGGGGTTAAAAAAATAAAGTTTGTCTTAACCCTGAACAACTTGGGCCCACCTTCATTTTCAGGTCTGTGAAATATTCAAGCAACAGATGCTGAAGCTAGAGACCAAGTTACTGATGAGGGAGGTAGTTTGGTTCTTGGCAATCAAGTTCTGCATTAATAATCGAGCCTCATCACAGAAATACTTCAAATCCACTTTTCACAGAATATCTACTGAAAAGTATCACTAAAACGCAATTTTGCTAGAATCCATTAATTTTACGAGCTGACTGAATCTTCCTCAGAGATCAAAAACTGCAAAGGAGCTAGACTACAAGGAACTGAATTTCAGTCAACCTTTTAAGAAATGCAGATCAGAATGCAAATCCTAGGTAGGTTCTTAAACAGCAAAAGACAGCATCCACGTCTCTGCAAAAGGCTTGAACTCTTTGGCCAGCTTGGTTGGGGAGAGCTGGAATGGCAGGTTGAGAAGTACCAACAAACCCCATCAATGGCAGCTTCCAACACCATCTGATTTTCTGAATTTCAAATCTGGACACGGAATTGAGCCGGAAAACTCTGAATGCTGCCAGATTCTCATTTCAGATGCACACACATACTCTTACATGTCTCAAAGAAAGTAAAATAAAAGGAAGATAGAAAGAAGGAAAAAGAAGAAAAAGAAACCCTGTAGTCCACATGAAAGAGCAAATGCCATCTGAAGGCCTCAGCAGCTACACGGGATGTCATACCTGGGCTGACGCTGCCGGCTTCTGGGGCCACCCTTCGGACGTGGTCTCAGTCACACCCAGGCTGACGCTGCCGGCTTCTGGGGCCACCATTCGGATGTGGTCTCAGTCACACCCAGGCTGACACTGCCGGCTTCTGGGGCCACCATTGGGATGTGGTCTCCGTCACACCTGGGCTGACACTGCCGGCTTCTGGGGCCACCATTCGGACATGGTCTCAATAATCTTCCCGAGCTCGGCCAGCTCACAGGAGCTCAAGCTTACAAGTAGTTGGTGTGTAATTTGCATGGTCAGTAGAGACAAAGAAAGGCTTCAAAGCCACTGCACACTCCTGCTGCTCTCCAGAGATAAAGCGAGGAGAGGGTGACGATAGCCAATCAGGGCCCACGCCAGTTTCCCAGATAGGAACCATGGCCGATAAACCCGAGACCACAGGTGTTCCATCCCTGCTACTCAGCCCAAAGCAACAAGGAAGCCTGAGGTGACACCACAAAATGCAAATTTATCTCCAACGCTGTCACTTGTTAAGATAGCAAAGAAATGAGCCTTGATCCGTGAATAAACTGTATACATCAACTCATCTGGGAAACAAGCAAGAAACCCAAGAGAAACCACGGGGGAGAAACCGGGATCCATGTTCTATCCCCTGCTGCTGGGCCAGACCTGAGCAGCACGGCAGTGAAGGAAGTGGATTTGGGGGGCTTCCCTCCACCCACAGTAACCTTCCTTTGCTGAGTGATGCAAGCCTGACCTTTCCGGGGAGCACCCATGACCTCGTGGGGACACGGTGAACCCTAGGGACATGAAATGGTCCCGCCCTAGCTTCCTCTCCAGTGCCCTGCCTGTCCTGCCCAGGGCACTCCCAAAATGTCTCAACGAAAATGTTCTTAGAGGGGAAGAGGTCTCAGAGATTAGCCCCTCTGGTTCCTCATTTTTTTTTTTTGAGACAAAGTCTCACTCTGTCACCCAGGCTGGAGTGCAATGGCACCATCTCAGCTCACTGCAACCTCCACCTCCTAGGTTCAAGCGATTCTCCTGCCTCAGCCTCCTGAGTAGCTGAGATTACTAGTTTTTGTATTTTTAGTAGAGACGGGGTTTCACCACGTTAACCAGGCTGGTCTCAAACTCCTGACCTCAAGTGTTCCGCCCACCTCCGCCTCCCAAAGTGCTGGGATTACAGGCATGAGCCACCACATCCAGCCCCTCATTTTCTAGATGAGGAAAGAGAAACTGGGACATTACAGTCCCTTTACGGCCAACACTGGAATGGAATCCTGAAAACTGCTTTGCACGGAGTTCTGCTGTGGTCTGTAGTTTGCATGTATCATTTCCTTTAATCCTCACAACTCCCCTCTAAGGTGGTAATTACCTTATTTTCACTTTTTTAGACGAGAAAGATTAATTCGGAAGAGGCTAAACAGCTCCAAGGTCTCCGAGCAGAGAGGCAGCCGTCGGATTCCGGAACCTGCTGGACCACCCTCCAGGCGCCCAGTGATTTCTCCAGGGTGGACACAGGCTTACGTGTGGCGCAGGAGTGCTCTGTGACGTACACAAGGCGCATCCCACAGGTGGATGCAGAGAGGCCAGAGAGGGGAGGCACCTGGCACCATCCCGTTCTGTTTTCGGTGCGGCCCGTTCTTCGGGCTTTATTAAGCAACTGCCCACGTGGAAGAAAAGCAATAATGAAGCAAGGCGTCGTATCGATTCCCCCAGCTGTAATGGAATTCCGTCAAGGAGCAAAGCGAGGCGTTTTCAGAAACTCTGCCTGTTAACGTTTATTGCTCCCAAAGTCTGATTATAACACACTAGCTCCGGGGGCCGAGTGAACATCACTTCACACAAAAACAGGGACAACGTCTGTGACCACCGGAGATGAATATTAGTGAAAGAACTGACTCTCCCGATTCCTCTATTAACCTGTCTCTGGCTACATTCAAACAAATCATATGTGTGTACGGAACAGGCTCATACACACATGCCAGCACGCGTAATGCCCAGTGGTCAGAAAATGCTCTTCAAACCGGGGACTGAGACGCCCGCAGAGCGCGGCCCTGAGAGCCCTGAGAGCAGAGTCAAGCACGATGCTGCTGCCTGGCCCCAGTGGCCATGCATGTGCCGCACCCTCGAGAACATCTGGGGACCTCGGGGCCCACAGGCATTAACCATCAGCTTAATCTCCCACGCCAGGTGTGCTCAGCACCCTCGAGAAGGTCCGGGGACCTCGGGGCCCAGGGGCATTAACCATCAGCTTAATCTCCCACGCCAGGTGTGCTCAGCACCCTCAAGAAGGTCCGGGGATCTCGGGGCCCACAGGCATTAACCATCAGCCTAATCTCCCATACCAGCTCACCAGGTCTGGGGCCCGGGTGTTTCGGAGAAGGCATTCTGTAGTTATAACTACCATCCACCATCAGGTGACTGTCGGTAAAGGAGGGGACCCTCCTTCATGTGGCCATCACTTGAGGCCTTAAGACAAAAACAATCATGTTCATTGCTGCTAAGAACCCAAAACAATAGGCTGAAAGTCCTGCTGATGCACTGCCAGGAAAGACGCAGAGTACGAGACCAGTCTAGCTGAGGCCTGCGCACCGCCGGGAAAGACGCGGTGTCCGAGTCCAGCCTAGCTGAGGCCTGCGCACCGCCGGGAAAGACGCGGGGTCCGAGACCAGCCTAGCTGAGGCCTGCGCACCGCCGGGAAAGACCCAGAGTCCGAGACCAGCCTAGCTGAGGCCTGCGCACCGCCGGGAAAGACGCGGTGTCCGAGTCCAGCCTAGCTGAGGCCTGCGCACCGCCGGGAAAGACGCGGGGTCCGAGACCAGCCTAGCTGAGGCCTGCGCACCACCGGGAAAGACGCGGGGTCCGAGACCAGCCTAGCTGAGGCCTGCGCACCGCCGGGAAAGACGCGGGGTCCGAGACCAGCCTAGCTGAGGCCTGCGCACCGCCGGGAAAGACGCGGGGTCCGAGACCAGCCTAGCTGAGGCCTGCGCACCGCCGGGAAAGACCCAGAGTCCGAGTCCAGCCTAGCTGAGGCCTGCGCACCGCCGGGAAAGACGCGGGGTCCAAGTGCAGCCTAGCTGAGGCCTGCGCACCGCCGGGAAAGACGCGGTGTCCGAGTCCAGCCTAGCTGAGGCCTGCGCACCGCCGGGAAAGACGCGGGGTCCAAGTGCAGCCTAGCTGAGGCCTGCGCACCGCCGGGAAAGACGCGGGGTCCGAGACCAGCCTAGCTGAGGCCTGCGCACCGCCGGGAAAGACGCGGGGTCCGAGTCCAGCCTAGCTGAGGCCTGCACAGCGCCGGGAAAGACGCAGAGTCAGTCCAGCCTAGCTGGGGCCTGCGCACCGCCGGGAAAGACGCAGAGTCCGAGACCAGCCTAGCTGGGGCCTGCGCACCGCCGGGAAAGACGCAGAGTCCGAGACCAGCCTAGCTGGGGCCTGCGCACCGCCGGGAAAGACGCGGGGTCCGAGTCCAGCCTAGCTGAGGCCTGCGCACCGCCGGGAAAGACGCGGTGTCCGAGACCAGCCTAGCTGAGGCCTGCGCACCGCCGGGAAAGACGCGGGGTCCAAGTGCAGCCTAGCTGAGGCCTGCGCACCGCCGGGAAAGACCCAGAGTCCGAGACCAGCCTAGCTGAGGCCTGCGCACCGCCGGGAAAGACGCGGGGTCCAAGTGCAGCCTAGCTGAGGCCTGCGCACCGCCGGGAAAGACGCAGAGTCCGAGACCAGCCTAGCTGGGGCCTGCGCACCGCCGGGAAAGACGCAGAGTCCGAGACCAGCCTAGCTGAGGCCTGCGCACCGCCGGGAAAGACGCGGGGTCCGAGTCCAGCCTAGCTGAGGCCTGCGCACCGCCGGGAAAGACGGAGAGTCCGAGTCCAGCCTAGCTGAGGCCTGCGCACCGCCGGGAAAGACGCGGGGTCCGAGTCCAGCCTAGCTGAGGCCTGCGCACCGCCGGGAAAGACGCGGGGTCCGAGTCCAGCCTAGCTGAGGCCTGCGCACCGCCGGGAAAGACCCAGAGTCCGAGTCCAGCCTAGCTGAGGCCTGCGCACCGCCGGGAAAGACGCGGGGTCCGAGTCCAGCCTAGCTGAGGCCTGCGCACCGCCGGGAAAGACGCGGTGTCCGAGACCAGCCTAGCTGAGGCCTGCGCACCGCCGGGAAAGACGCGGGGTCCGAGTCCAGCCTAGCTGAGGCCTGCGCACCGCCGGGAAAGACGCGGTGTCCGAGACCAGCCTAGCTGAGGCCTGCGCACCGCCGGGAAAGACGCGGGGTCCGAGTCCAGCCTAGCTGAGGCCTGCGCACCGCCGGGAAAGACGCGGTGTCCGAGACCAGCCTAGCTGAGGCCTGCGCACCGCCGGGAAAGACGCAGAGTCCGAGACCAGCCTAGCTGAGGCCTGCGCACCGCCGGGAAAGACGCGGGGTCCGAGTCCAGCCTAGCTGAGGCCTGCGCACCGCCGGGAAAGACGCGGTGTCCGAGACCAGCCTAGCTGAGGCCTGCGCACCACCGGGAAAGACGCGGGTCCGAGACCAGCCTAGCTGAGGCCTGCGCACCGCCGGGAAAGACGCGGTGTCCGAGACCAGCCTAGCTGAGGCCTGCGCACCGCCGGGAAAGACCCAGAGTCCGAGTCCAGCCTAGCTGAGGCCTGCGCACCGCCGGGAAAGACCCAGAGTCCAAGTCCAGCCTAGCTGGGGCCTGCGCACCGCCGGGAAAGACGCGGGGTCCGAGTCCAGCCTAGCTGAGGCCTGCGCACCGCCGGGAAAGACGCGGTGTCCGAGACCAGCCTAGCTGAGGCCTGCGCACCGCCGGGAAAGACCCAGAGTCCGAGTCCAGCCTAGCTGAGGCCTGCGCACCGCCGGGAAAGACGCGGGGTCCGAGTCCAGCCTAGCTGAGGCCTGCGCACCGCCGGGAAAGACGCGGGGTCCGAGTCCAGCCTAGCTGAGGCCTGCGCACCGCCGGGAAAGACCCAGAGTCCGAGTCCAGCCTAGCTGAGGCCTGCGCACCGCCGGGAAAGACGCGGGGTCCGAGTCCAGCCTAGCTGAGGCCTGCGCACCGCCGGGAAAGACCCAGAGTCCGAGTCCAGCCTAGCTGAGGCCTGCGCACCGCCGGGAAAGACGCGGGGTCCGAGTCCAGCCTAGCTGAGGCCTGCGCACCGCCGGGAAAGACGCGGTGTCCGAGACCAGCCTAGCTGAGGCCTGCGCACCGCCGGGAAAGACGCGGGGTCCGAGTCCAGCCTAGCTGAGGCCTGCGCACCGCCGGGAAAGACCCAGAGTCCGAGTCCAGCCTAGCTGAGGCCTGCGCACCGCCGGGAAAGACGCGGGGTCCGAGACCAGCCTAGCTGAGGCCTGCGCACCGCCGGGAAAGACGCGGGGTCCGAGACCAGCCTAGCTGAGGCCTGCACAGCGCCGGGAAAGACGCAGAGTCCGAGACCAGCCTAGCTGAGTCCTGCATACCTAACTCCGCCGAGGACTTACATTCTGATTTCAGGGGTTCTCTTAGCCTGTCACCAAGTGTTTAAAGAAGGTTATGATGAAACCAACAAGCCAATCCGAGTGTCTTTAAACTGGGGCCACGAATGAAATTCACTCCTGTAAGAGGGCAGGGGAGCTGGGGCACTCTCTCATCCCAAAATGGAAAAACATTCATTTTTAACAGTAATAAAACATGAGGTGGTGAAGGCACAGCGGCGTCGGACGTGACTCGCAGCGCATCCAAGACAAGGGGCCTGCTCTTGGTGGCTCAGAAGACGAGGGCGGCAGCAAGACCCTCGGGGGAACCCTTAGGGAAGTCACCGGGTTGTCCTTTTAAACGATGTGTGCCACCGCACAGAAACTGCAAAGGAGAAAACTAAAATTATTTGTAACCCACCGATCTGAGGAAACGGCTGCTGGCATTGGCTGTTTCTCTCCATGGTTGAGATCGCAGTATTGGGACACTTTTACAGCTGCCTTTGTCATTTAACACTATTCCACCGGAATTTTCTTATGTTCTTAAGAAACTCCTAAGAAGTATAATTTTAGTACCTGCAAGGTATCTGTCACAGAGTCACCATTACTCGACCAGGCCTCTGTTTCACACAGTCGGGTCGTTTTTAGTCAGTGATCCAAGGGGGCCGGGCGGTGAACCAAGTCTAACGGAGGCAGTCACAGTTCAGTGACAGAGTTCCTTCCTGGTTCTGATGGGGAAGTTCAGTCACCGTGTCTGTATGTTACTTACTCGCTTCTTTCAGGGTCTTTTCCAATAAAGACAGCTATTTTTCATGGCAATGGAAATTATAAAAGCAGCTACCGTCATGCAGATCGTCCTGGGGGCATCCCAGCTGCACCCTGGTGCCGGGACAGCCTTACTGCAAGAAAAACAGGGTGTGGGAGGATTTACGAGTTCCAGCTGAGCCAGCTACATCAACCTGTGGGCACGTGGCGGGTTGGTGGCCAAGCCTGAACTGAGACCAAGGCTTTGGACTCCTAGCACTGGCTGTCTCGCTTGCTAAACCGTAATAGTCTCATCTAACTGCTCTGTACTAAGAACATGCTTCCGGATCCAACCGATGTGTTTCGGAGGTGCCCTACCCATTCAGGGGCAGGGTGGGGCTGTCACCCAGTCGAGAGGCTTTCCTGAAGCCGAGAGCACTGGGAGGCAGCATCTGAGACCTCTCTCCACAGCAGGAGCTCCCCCACATCTCCAGGGAAGAACACGTTCCAGCAGATCCACAGCCGGCACAAAGGAAACCTTAGGAAGGTGGTGCTAGGCTCTCCACGCTGGTCCTTAGCAGCTGTTCCTCCTGCAGCTCAGAGCTCAGCATCCCTTCTCCAGGACCTTCCCGCCATCAGGCACTCTCTGCACCACCCAGCTCCACCACCATCTCTGCCTCGTTCCCACGGACCGTCAGCCCAATGCTGGGTCCCCACTGCAGCTTCCACAAACCCTTAGACCCGCTGGTGATGTGCTAGCTCCCTCATTCCCGGCCTGGGAGAGCCTGGCCTGGTCCCACCTCCCTCCTGCCACCCTCCGCTCAAGCACATGGCCATCCCAACAGCAGAGCCCTGTCTGAGAGGAAAGAACTCAGCTCCAGACCGCCAGCAGGCAAACATATGGAAAGATGGGCTCAACTCAGTTTCTGGTTTTTCACTAATTCATGGCTTTTTTATTAAATGCAATCTTAATACAGATGGATGCAGGAGTGGGTTTCCATAACAGGCCATGGATGGTGAGCTAATGGCCTGAAATGTCAAGTCCAAATCTCCAAACAAAAGTGATCATTTAAAAGGAAGATGTGTGTAGCCGTACTCGTGGGACATAAACTGTTCTTTTTCTTTTCTTTTCTTTTTTCTTTTGAGATGGAGTCTCGCTCTGTCGTCCAGGCTGGAGTGCAATGGTACAATCTTGGCTCACTGCAACCTCTGCCTCCTGGGTTTAAGCAATTCTCCTTCCTCAGCCTCCTGAGTAGCTGGGATTACAGGTGCACGCTACCACGCCCAGCTAATTTTTGTATTTTTAGTAGAGATGGGGTTTCACTATGTTGGCCAGGCTGGTCTCAAACTCCTGACCTTGTGATCCACCTGCCTCGGCCTCCCAAAGTGCTGAGATTACAGGTATGAGCCACCACGCCCAGCTGGGACATGAAGTTTTCTTAAACAACAATGCTTTGTAAGGATCCCAAGCAGCAGAAGAATCCAACTGAATTGAAAGTGGGCTAAAGAGTGCACAAACTCAGCATGGGATGAGGTGAGGGAGAGCAGCCTGCTGGCGCTCACAGGCTGAGGGGCCTGTAGACCCGGAAGTCGGTACCACTTGTGGGAAGTCTCTGGTGAAGATGAAAACCACCCCAGGCACATTCACAGAAATGCTCTGGGGTTTGTGGACCCTGGGCATGTTCCCAGAAGCGCTCTGTGGTTTGCGGGGCCTCGCACGGCTCAGCGCGGCACCCCCTCCCTGTGGATTCCCGCTCTGAGAGTCAAGATCACTGCATGGGAGTGCATTGCTTCTTGTCCTAATTGACAGGGA
This sequence comes from Homo sapiens, assembly GCF_000001405.40. Classification (NCBI taxonomy): domain Eukaryota; kingdom Metazoa; phylum Chordata; class Mammalia; order Primates; family Hominidae; genus Homo; species Homo sapiens. The sequence goes on along the minus strand of NT_187560.1, from coordinate 46,579 downwards.
ACATTTGGTGGTGTCTCCACCACAAGAGACGCAGCATGGCTGCGGGACCAGTGAAGCCATAAAGCCCACTCGGTGCCTTGTGGGGCCGACACCGTGTCACTGCAGGAAGCCGCAGCCCGGCCTGGATTTCCAGGAAGCAAGGCCAGCTCAGCACAGACACAACTCCCATGACAGCTTGAACCCAGCTCACCCCCGCTATGAGAGAAACACCGGGTGACTGACCTGGAGTGAAAACAGCAGTGAGGAAGGGGGAAGAGCCCCCCACACTCTCAGAATGGTCTCTGGACGGAGACCCCCAGGCAGTGGCCATCTGACCCTGGCTGTGTCTGACCGTGGAACCAAAGCAGACATGTTTGAGCAGAACCAGAGCAGACATGTTTGACTCCAGTCAGCCCTTGAGGGAGCTGGCTAACGAGGACCACCCAAGACCCCAGAACATGACAAATGCAAAGAGCTTGGACTGAGGAAAGCAAGTTCAAATTCTTCACTGTGTGATTCCAAGCAAATCAGAACCAAATTCTTATCTGAATGTTTTCAGTGACAGATCAAAGAAAAGATCCCAGCCAGCGTGAGCCCCAGGCACACACTGCCTCACAGCGGGCTCACACTGGGCCCACACTGGCTTACACTGGGTATACACTGGGCTCACACTGGCTCACACTGGGCTCACTCCGGGCTCAACACTGGCTCAAACTGGGCACACACCAGGCTTACACTGGGCACATACTGGCCACACACTTGCTCACACTGGCTTGCACTGGGCTTAGACCAGGCACACACCAGGCACACTGGCTCACCTCGAGCACACAATGGCTCACACTGGGCACACTGGCTCACACCAGGCACACACTGCCTCACACGACACACACTGGGCACATACTGGGCACACACTGGCTTGCACTGGGCTCACACCAGACACACAGCAGGCACACTGGCTCACATCGAGCACACACTGGCTCACACTGGGCACATACTGGCCACATACTGGCTCACACTGGCTCACACTGGCCACACACTGGCTCGCACTGGGCACACACCAGGACACACTGGCTCACATCGAGCACACACTGGCTCACACTGGGCACATACTGGCCACACACTGGCTCACACTGGGCACATACTGGCTCACACTGGCTCACACTGGCCACACACTGGCTCACAATGGCTCACACTGGGCACACACCAGGACACACTGGCTCACACCGGGCACACACTGGGCACACACTGGCTTACAGCCACCCACCCGAGGGACAGGCTGGTGCCAGGGGAAGCTGTGTCTGAGTGCTCCATCATGTTATCCGGGACCTGCTCGTCCCTCTCTCTGACCTGCCTGCTGGACACCAACACCAGCCCTCAAGTGCCAGCAGTGACAAGCCCACCTGAGCAGAAATGCAGATTCTCGTCCAGCATCCTCAGAGTCCAATCCACTCTAACAGGATCCCCTTTGGTCACATGACCCCTCCTGAGCCAATCACTGCAGCCAGGACCACGGAACATTCTGGCTGACTCACGGGATGCCTTGTCCAGGGCGGGGAGGACTCAGAGTTCTCGCTGGACCTTTAATGACGTGTGAGGGAGAAGAGAAACACGACACGGTCAGGGAGACGTCACAGGTTTTCCCCAGATCCTCAGGGGAACCACACACAGTGACTCATGAGGAGCGGCGGGGCCTTGAGCCAGGGCGAAAGCACCGGGCGCTCCAGGATCCCAGGCTCCTTCCCTGAACAAGCATCCAAACCTCTCAAGCTAGGGCTGACTACAAACGACAAAGTCCTGTAACACAGAGCTCAGATAGCGGATTTCAAACGTTTTGTTCATGAAAATGTAACCTCTGTGTCGTCTTGGAACAGTGTTCAGGAGGGGGAGGGTGCAAGCTCTGGCCCAGGCCCCACCTCTACCAGGGAAGGCAAACATCACTTAAACGCCTGCAGCCTCCTGCGAAGGTTTTCTGAGACTATCAGTAAAGATAATATGTTTTCAAGCTCCTGGAATATGTTTAAAGTATTATGCAAACAAACAACAGCTATTAGAAATATCACTTTACAAACTTTTTGTTGAGATACTATGCATTCCAAAGCGTTCACCAGTGAGAAGTACACAGCTTGGTGCTGCCTGAAGACGCAGCCTGGCCCGGGATTTCCAGGAGCAAGGCCAGCTCAGAACAGATGCAACCCCCATAAAACAGAGCTTAAGACAACCTCACCCTCACTAGAATGGCTTACACTCCTGCTACAAAAGAAACACCTGGTGACTGACCTGGAGTGAAAACAGGAACGAGGAAGGGGGAAGAGGCCCCGCGCCCTGACAAATGTTTACAGAACAAACACTCCCACCCAGACATAGATTCATAACCCACAAGCCCCGCCCCCATCCTCTCAGTCACCATCATTCTAAATTCCAGGCTGAACGTCAGCTTTGCCTGTTTGAACTGTAGGTCCGTGGAATCACACTCTCTGCTCTCCTGAATCCGGCTTCTTTGCGCAATATCCCATTTGTGAGAGTCACCTGTGTGGCTCTGTACAACAGTAGCTGGTGGTTTTTTATTGCTCTGTAGTATTTAATTGCATGGAACATCCCACAGTTATTTCTACATTCCCCTGTGCATAGACGTGTAAGTTATTTCAGTTGTAAGCTGTTATAAATCAAGCTGCTGGGAACATTCTTAGGCCTTTTTGTATATTTAAGGATGCATTTCTATTGGGTATGTACTCATAGGAGTGGGATTACTAGACCATAAAAGACAGATATATTCAGCTTCCACAGATACGAACCAAGCTGCTAGGCACATTCTTGTACATGTCCTTTGCATACCTCAGTCTGCATTTCTGTTGGGAATACATGTATCTAGGAGTGCTATTATTTGATCACAGGGTAAAAAAAATACATAGCTACATTTGTCACTTTATTCTGAAGTTTACAGGCAAAAGCTGCTGATGATACGGATTGATAGCGATGTCCACTTTTCATTCCTGGCACTGGTAAGTTGGTCCTTCCTTCTGTTTTTCTTGATCAGCCTTGCCAGAAGTGTATATTCACATCTTTTAAAGAAGCAATGATTGGTTTTGTTCATTCTCTCTACCGTACATTTGTTTTCTATTACATTATTTTTCTTTTTATTATATTCTTATATTTCTTTAACTTCAATTTTCTGTTCTTTTTCTACACTCTTTAGACATATGTCATTTTCACCTTTTCTTCTTTTCTAATAAAAGCATCTAAGGTTATAATTTATTTCTAACCATAGCTTTAACTTGATCCCAAAATTCCCAAAATTGTTTAATATTGTATTTTTATTATAGTTCAGTTCACAATATTTTCAGATTTCTATTGACATTTCTTCTTTGACAAATGGGGTATTTAGAAGAGTACTGCTTAATTTCCAAACATTTAGATTTTCTAGGGATTTTTTTTTCCATTTGTTTTTAGCTTAATTTCTTTGGCCAAAGAAATACTCCGAATGATTTCAATCTTTAGCAATATGTTAAGATTTGTTTATCTGATCAAAACATTTCCGTCTAATAGATGGTCATTTTCAATATGTATGCTGTGTGCACTGGAAAAGAACACAGGTTCTATTTTGATAGTTGCAGTGTGTCCATTAGATCAAGGCCATTAATCCCGTTCTTCAGACCTGCTTCAGCATGTCTCTCTAAATACATGACAGGACACACACACCAATAATAAAAACAAACATGCATAAAAATGTGCATTATTCTCTCCGGTAATTATCTCAATATTTGCTTTATACATTTGAAAATTATATCAGGTGCATCAAATTTATAATTACTGTGTGTTCCTGATAGACCAACCCTTATATTTATTATGGCCCTTTTTATCTCGGAAAATGCTTCCTGCCTTAACATCTACTTTGTATATTAGTTTAGATATACCAGCTTTCTTTAGGGTAGTGTTTTCATTGTATTCTCTTCCAGCGTTTCAAACTTTTATATCTCAACATTGAAGGTGGTCCCTTGCAAGCAGTGTGGTTTTGTTTTTTAGTGACAATCTTTAATTTTTGAGTGGAGTATTTATCTCATTTATTTACAATGAAATTACTAATATATTGGGATTTATATCGACTATCTTACCTTGTTTTTTTATTTGTCTCATCTGTTTTATTTTTCCTTTTATCCTTTATTGCTTTCTTCTGGATGGAGTATTTTTATTATTATTTTGATTCCCTTTCTTAGCTTGTTAGCTATTCTTTTTGTGGCTATTCTAGAAATAATAACACGGGACCTTGATTTATCATGGTGCAACACACATCACATCCCACATGGTGTCAGAAAAACTGGATACACACATGCACATAACAAAATTGGACCGTTACCTTATACCATACACACACACAAATCAACTAAAAATGGATTCATGCCTTAAACATAACACCTGAACCTGTAAACCGCCTAGAAGGAAATATAGGAAAAAACCTTCATGACATTGGTCTTAGCAATTATTTTTTGGATATGACACCAAAAGCTCAGGCAACAAAAGCAGAAACAGACAAGGGAGACTACATCAAACTAAAGTTTCTGCAAAAGAAACAATCAACAGTGAAAAGGCAATCTACAGAACAGGATAAAATACTTGCAAATCGTATAACTTTTTAAAAGGTTAATGTCCAAAATGTATAAGGAACTGCTGCAACCCAATAACCAAAAACAAAATAACCTGATTTTTTAAACGGGCAAAAGGACCTAAATAGACATTTCTCACAAGAAGAAATACAAATGGACTGCAGGTATACAACAAAAATGCTCGACATCACTAATCGCCAGCAAAATCTAAATCAGCACTACAATGAGCTATCATATCAAACTTGTTAGGATACCTATTATCAGAAAAAAAAAAGATGAGTATTGGTGAAGACTGTATACTGTTGTGGGAATGCAAAAGGTCCTTATGGAAAACAGTATACAGGTTCCTCAAAAAATTAAAAATAGAACTACTATTTGATCCAGCAACCCCACTCTGGGTTTTTACCCAAAAGAGTCAAAATCAAGATCTCCAAAGAGATACTTGCATTCCCACACTAACTGTGGCATTATTTGCAATATCCAAGATGTGGCCACAACCCAAATGTCCATCAACAGATGGATGGATGTTTTACATGTGGTATATCTAGACAATGAAACATTACTCAGCCTTAAAAAAGAAGAAAATCCTGCTGTAAGTGACAGCATAGATGAACCTGGAAGACATGAGCTGAGCGAAGTAATCCAGGCACAGAAAAGATAACACTGATGATTTCACTTAGACGAGGCATCTAAAATAGTCCAATGCGTAGACCCAGAGAGAAGAATGGTGGTTTCCAGGGGCTGGGTCGGGGCAGGGTGAGGTATTGCTAATCAATGGGTATCAAGTTTTAGTTCTGCAGGATGAACGAGTGCTAGAGATCTGCGGTACAGATCATGGCTGTCATCAACAATACTGTGCCATGCACTTAAAATGTTAAGAGGGTGGATCTCATGTTATATGTTCTTTCCACAAAAAAGGACATGGATCCCTGACTTATTAGTGTAACACGCATTATCGCATCCTGGATAATGCCAAAACCTGAGAACACTAACTCCTTTACCTTCTGTGCCACCAATATTCGTGTTGATTTACCAACCCATTGATAGTTCCCACTGCTATCCCTGCCTGCCTTGTTTCCTGGTTTCCATGTGGGTTTACTTTCCTCCTGCCAGAAGCCCCTGCAGTCTTTTCCCAAGAGTCATCTGTTGATGGAGTCTCTCGAGTTCTGTCTGTCTTTTCGTAGGAGTCATCTGTTGATGGAGTCTCTCGAGTTCTGTCTGTCTTTTCCTAAGAGTCATCTGTTGATGGAGTCTCTCGAGTTCTGTCTGTCTTTTCCTAAGAGTCATCTGTTGATGGAGTCTCTCGAGTTCTGTCTGTCTTTTCCTAAGAGTCATCTGTTGATGGAGTCTCTCGAGTTCTGTCTGTCTTTTCCTAAGAGTCATCTGTTGATGGAGTCTCTCGAGTTCTGTCTGTCTTTTCCTAAGAGTCATCTGTTGATGGAGTCTCTCAAGTTCTGTCTGTCTGGTCACGTCTTGATTTCATCTTTATACCTGAGAAACATTTCCAGGGAGTAGAGAACTTGAATTGATGGGGTGTTTTCTTCCATCACATGCGAGGTTCATCACACTTCTGGTCTCCATGGTTTCTGGTGAAACAATTCATCAATAGAGATTAATTTCCTATGATTTTTCTCTGCTTGCTTTCCAGATTTTCTCTTAAACTTTGGTTTTTACTAATTTTAGAGTGATGTTCAGAGGTAGGGTTTTCTTTGTGTTCATTCTGTGAGGTTGAACTAACCACACAAAACTGCCAATATTCAACTGTTGTTTACCTTTAAAATAGCTATATAATAGATTTTTTAAAATCCAAGCTTTGGTGTCTTTCTTCAGGTTTGAAAAAAATCATAGCTCTCATCGCCTCAAACATTGCTTCTAAGCTGTTTTCCTTCTCCTCTTCTGGGACTCCACCTACACATATAGACCTTTCCAACAGATCTCCTCTGCCTCATACACTCCGTCCTGTACTTTCTCTCAGTTTTGATCTGTTACTCTGCCTCATTATTTCCCAGGGACCTTCTTCCAGCTCACTCATCTGCTCTTCCTTCATACTCAATGTTTTGTGATGCCCATCTATTGAGTTATTAGATTCAGCTCTAGAATTTCCATTTGATTACTTTGTTTATAGAATCAATTTTTCTGGTGAAATTTTCCACTTACCCTTTATTTTCTTGAACATATCAACCACAGTTATTTTAAAATTTGACTGCAACAAGTATAATAACTATCTGTGGGTGTACTGTTGTCATCTGTTTTTGTGTCTTGGTCTTGCTTCTTGACAACTGAAATTCAGACATTACATATGAAACTGCAGAGACTCTGGGTGAGTCTATCTTCTTACCTTCCTCCTCACTAGACAGCCAGATCGAGGGTAGATCCCCTTAACTCAAGGGAGGCCTGAGACAAGAAGACAGACCCATCATTCTTGGAAGGCTCAGTCACCTGGGGTTTATCCTCACACCTATGGCATGACCCATCCGGGGCTGGGACCTGGGATGTGTGCGATGGCCCCTCTTTCTTAGAAGTTCCTGAATTCCAGTTTCATCTCTTCAGCATTATGAGACTGCCAGAAATCCTGCTCTGCTTTTCCATAGCTTTCTGATCAGCCTCTGATTCAACTCAAGAATTTGGCAAATGTGTCAGAGGTGAAAGCCACAGGTGCTGATTGCCTCTGTACCTACTTTCTCTTTGGGATCCAGTCTCCTCAGGGCCTGGTAACCTTTGCAATGCAAACATCTATTTGTGTGTTGATGACCCTATGAGGTTGCCAAGTGCTCTGTGGGTTTCACTGCCTCTTCTCCACAGCCCTTGCCTGGTTTCTCAGCCTCTTTCGACAGGAATCACAAATGCCCCCAGGAGACAGGCAGCCCGCAGGGAGTGGGCTCCCTAACAGTGCCCCTCCGATGGGTCTTTTTTAAGTTTTTTTGGCCAGGGGCTGTGGCTCACACCTGTCATCCCAGCACTTTGGGAGGCTGAGGTGGGCGGATCACCTGAGGTCAGGAATTTGAGACCAGCCTGGCCAACATGGTGAAACCCCGTCTCTACTAAAAATACAAAAATTAGCCAGGCGTGGTGGTGCATGCCTGTAATCCCAGCTACTGGGAGGCTGAGGCAGGAGAATTGCTTGAACCTGGGAGGCAGAAGTTGCAGTGCCACTGCACTCCAACCTGGGCAACAGAGTGGGACTCCATCTCAAAAAAAAAAAAGAAAAAGTTTTATTTTATTTTTAATTGACAAATAATTGTACATATTTATGGGCTACGGTGTGATGTTTCAACACATATATACATTGTGGAATCATCAAAACAGGCTAATTAACAGGATCTTGGCCTCTCAAATCCCGGTTGCCTCCGCAGCTCCCCAAAGCAGGCATTCTGTGGATTTTACCCAGCACTTCTAGTTGTTCCCCACAGGAAATCTGATCCGATGCAAACAGATCATTATAGCCAAGAGAAGGTCAGTTCTGATCGTTGTTGATTTTCCTGGAATTTGCTAATGATGAATCGTGCTGTGTGAAAATACACTTTAGGCTGATGCCCAGCTGATTAGCATATAGGGTTTAGTGACATTTCCACTGATAGTGACTTCCTCAAAGACACTCTGACCAGGGGTCAGCAAACCAGAGCCCCGGGACCTACCCCACCTGTCTTTTCATGTAGGGCCTGGGAAAGGAAAACAAACCTTGGGACTCCAAAATCTCCAGGCTAAAGGGAAAAGTCAAGCTGGGAACTGCTCAGGGCAAACCTGCCTCCCATTCTGTTCAAAGTCACCCCTCTGAGGCTGCCCTGAGACAAATGCATCTCATTGCTCCCTCTCCCCTATTGCTTATGTAAAAATGCAGATTCACTGAGCCAGGCTCAATTGTGTATTCACTGGAAGGCTGGTCAAGGACTCAAAAGAATGCAAACTTTTGTCTCTTATCTATTTCTAACCTGGAAGCCGCCATTTCCAGTCATCCCGCCTTACTGGACTGAACCAAAGTATGTCTTACACATATTGATTGACGTCTCATGTCTCCCTAAAATGTATAAAAGCAAACTGTGCCCCCGACCACCTCGGGCACATGCCTCAGGCCCCCGTCCACCTCCTGCGCATGCCTCAGCCCCCGACCACCTCAGGCACAAGTCTCAGGACTTCCTGAGGCTGTATCATGGATGCATCCTTCACCTTGCCAAAATACTTTCTAAATTGACTGAGACCTTTCTCAGATATTTTGTGCTCACAAGCCTTTGAGCTAAGAATGGTTTTTATATTTTTTTAAGGGTTGTAGGAAAAATGAGATGGAGACAGGGACAGAGAAGAAGTGGGGAAGAGAGAAGAAAGGAGGAGAAGGAAGAGAAGAAGAAGAGGAGAAGGAGTAAGATGAGGAGGAGGAAACAGTAATCTTTGTGGCTTTCAAAGCCAAGATATTTATCATTTGGTCCTTTACAGATAAAGCTTGCCAACTCAAGTTCATGACCATCTCTAATTCTTTTAAATATCAAGTCATGATGTGTATTAATATAAAGATTGCATATTAAATGCATCTTCCATAGACATAGAAAGTAAAGATATGAAAATCAGTTTGTACTGATTGTAAGACAAGTCTCTGAACGACCAACAAGATGGCCCAGTCTGTGGAGCTCCAGGCTTATTTACGGGGTGCACCTCGTAGTGCCCACAAGGAAGCTAGATCTTTTGGAAATAATTCTGCAATGTGGAAATAATTTTGCAACGTGGAAATACTGAGGCCTGGGGCTGACTGATTTATTGATGAGAAACCCAGGGAGGCATTGGTTTGGGGTTCTGTGACATCATGTTGAGGCATCTGCATTTCCTATCACACTGTACTAAATCAGTTAGAAAATATCTTAATTTCCCTATCCTCACATGAGTCTTACTGGGTCCTGACAACCTCCTGGCCTCTCACCCTAATGAGTCCTCATTTCTGAGTGGACATTTCTCCCAAATTCAGTTGCAACAACAGATGGTGTGTGGCCACAGCCCATAAAGGTAGAGACTCATGCTCAAAGCTGCCTTCTGGTAGGCAAAGTCGCCACCTCGAACACACCCTCCAAAGACTTGACATTCAGATACCAAATGCTCCAGGTCCAGCTCCCAAAAGCTAGATGGATTGTCCGTTCCATTCGGGCTTCAAATCAGAGGCTGTGGTGGCTGTGGTATCTCAGGACTGGTGCAGTAGGGTTCTAGCACAGCTTCAGGCAGACTTCCTCAACAACAGTGATGGTGATGGTAGTGGTGGTGGTGATAGTGAAAGCAGTGGTGGTGGTGATGATGGTGGTAATGGTAGTAGCTATGGGTGTGGTGGTGATGATGGTGGTGATGGTAGTGATGGTAATAGGGGTGATAGTGGTGATGTGGTAATGATGGTGGTGGTGGCAGTGGCGGCGGTGGTGGTGATAATGATAGTGGTAACAATGGTGGTGGTGATGGTGGTAATACTGGTGATGGAGGTGGTCGTGGTGATGATGGTGGCAGTAGTGATGGTGGTAGTGATAGTGACAGGGTGGTGGTGGTGGTGATGGTGATAGGGGTGGATAGTAGTGGTGAAGGTGGTGGTGATGATGACAGTGGTGGTGACAGTGGTGGTGGTGATGTTAGTGATAGTGGTGATGGTGATGGGGGTGGTAGTGGTGATGGTGGTAGTAGTAGTGGTGGTGGTGGTGATGGCAGTGACGGGGGTGGTGGTGGGGGCAGTGGTATTGGTGGTGGTGGTGAAGGTGGTGGTGGTGACGGTGATGATGATGGTAGTGATAGTGGTGATGGTGGTGGTGATGATGGTGATGGGGTAGTAGTGGTGTTGGTGGTAGTGGTGGTGGTGATGGCAGTGATGGGGGTGGTGGTAGTCGTGGTGGTGGTGACAGTGGTAGTAGTGATGGTGGTAGTGATGGGGGTGGTAGTGATGGTGGTGCTGGTGGTAGTGATAGGGGTGGTAGTGATGGTGATGGTGATAGTGGTGATGGCAGTGGTAGTGATGGTGGTGATAGTGATGGTGATAGCAGTGGTGGCAGTGGTGGTGATAGTGATGGTGATGGTGGTGGTGGTGATGGTGATAGTAATGGTGATGGCAATGAAGGTGATGGTGATGGTGATGGTGATAGTGATGGTGATGGTGGTGGTGGTGATGGTGATAGTAATGGTGATGGCAATGAAGGTGATGGTGATGGTGATCAGTGATGGTGGTGATGGTGATGGCAGTGGTGGCAGTGGTGGTGGTGGTGATAATGATGGTCATGGTAGTGGTGGTGATGGTGATAGTGATGGTGATGGCAGTGGTGGCAGTGGTGGTGATAGTGATGGTCATGGCAGTGGTGGTGATGGTGATAGTGATGGTGATGGCAGTGGTGGCAGTGGTGGTGATGGTAATAGTGATGGTGATGGCAGTGATAGTGATAGTGATGGTGATGGCAGTGGTGGTGGTGGTGATAGTGATGGTGATGGCAGTGGTGGTGGTGGTGATAGTGATGGTGATGGCAATGGTGGTGATGGTGATGGTGATGGTGATCAGTGATGGTGGTGGTGATGGCAATGGTGGCAGTGGTGGTGATGGTGATAGCGATGGTGATGGCAGTGGTGGTGATAGTGATAGTGATGGTCATGGCAGTGGTGGTGATGGTGATAGTGATGGTCATGGCAGTGGTGGTGATGGTGATAGTGATGGTCATGGCAGTGGTGGTGATGGTGATAGTGATGGTCATGGCAGTGGTGGTGATAGTGATAGTGATGGTCATGGCAGTGGTGGTGATGGTGATAGTGATGGTCATGGCAGTGGTGGTGGTGATAGTGATAGTGATGGTCATGGCAGTGGTGGTGGTGGTGATAGTGATGGTCATGGCAGTGGTGGTGATAGTGATGGTGATAGTGATGGTGGTGACAGTGGTGGTGATGGTGATGGCAGTGGTGGCAGTGGTGGTGATGGTGATAGTGATGGTCACGGCAGTGGTGGTGGTGGTGATAGTGATGGTGGTGGCAGTGGTGGTGATGGTGATGGCAATGGTGGCAGTGGTGGTGATGGTGATAGTAATGGTCATGGCAGTGGTGATGGTGGCAGCAAGGAAATCATTCTCTGATTACCTGACATGGTTAAAAATCTGAGAGCAAAGATGAGCTGAGAATGTCATCATACAATGTGTAAAGAAGCTGAGCCTGAGAACCCTGAAATGCATGGTATTCTCTATGTGCAAACGTACGAGAGCTGAAAGTGACCAGTTACCTATTCATGGTTATCATCTGCATGATGAAGAAACACTGCAACCTACCTTTTCTCCACTAGAGGGTTGGTTCACTAGATAATGGCACCTGCATGCCATGGATGCTACGTATCAGTATTCAACAGTGGAAGCCCACTCAGCATTCAGGAGTAAGAGATTTGGTAAGTGATAAGAAAAATTTGCAGAACTACAGGATTCCATTTTTGTTATGTGTGTGCCCAGAAGAGCATCTAAACAGACATTTACCCGAATGTTCTTCACCATGATTATTTTGGGGCTTTAGGATCGTAAGGAGGTGATTCTGATTTTGTGGCTTGTACCCTTCTGCACCACCCAGCCATGCAGCGTTCCGCCTGCTTCCTTTTCTCCTGTGTGCTTTAATTCTAGTTACAGGAAACATGCATATGAAAAAGGCACGGAAGGGAATGTATGTTTCCTTTTTTGTCAGAAAATAAAATGACACGTTTCCATTTTTGGAGAAGTTAAAACAGATTTTATCTCCTGCCACCATTCTTGCCTTACGGACAAGAGGAGGACAGGGCCTCCAAGCAAATGAGCACATTAGTGAGTTAAAAGAAATATTTATAAATCTAGAGCATAGTCTTTGGCCTAGAAAGACGGTACTAAAGCAGACAGAAGCCTTTTCAGGAACACAAATAAGTATTAAAAAAAAAAAAAAAAGCAAAAAAACACCTTTTTTGTTCCCTTTAAACCAGAATGACTCTTAACCTGGTCAACAAGCACATTGCAAATGTCTTGTTCCCACTAGGTGGCCACAGGTCACTGGGCGAGCGGGTCTTTGTGGGCAGAGGCAGGAGCGGAGGCTGCGGAGGACGCTCCAAGCCCATCTTCCGTGGCTCAGCCCAGCGGCTCCCGCGGCTCCAGGGCAGCGCCAGGCATGGCTTCTCCCCGAAGGCACAGAAGGCTCCGAAGTTGCCACCTCTTGCCTGAGTTGCCGGAAATCCAAGGGTAGGTTTATATCAAATCAGCAGACAAACTTGACTTCTGGGTAAAGGCTAAAATGAATCAACGGAGAACTGACGAGACTGTTTCCCCACTGACGGGTCTGTAAGAGTTGGGGGCTGCCCGCCGCCTGGTCAGTCACGCTATGCAGCTCTTAGGTTGAATCCTGGGCTGCCCTGGCTACCAGGATGCCTCAGGGAGGGGAGGAAGCAGGAGGAGCGGCGTGGGGCGACTCCTCCCAACAGGGGGAGCAGCGTGGAGCAAATCTTCCTGATGGGGGAGCGGCGTGGGGCAAATCTTCCTGCCAAGCGTGCGAGCTGCTTGTCCCCACCTGGGCGAGCCACCTCTTCCTACCAGGGGTGCCCATGAGGTCCTTCCTAAAAGTAAGACTCAGCAGGGAGGGTTCCAAGGCCTGTGGCCAGCAGGTGAATCACACAGGAGCTTCCTCTACCATGTGAGGCTCTGGGGGTCCTTGTCTGGGTGACGGTGTCAGAGTGGACTGTTGGCCACCAGCAACGGGGCTGCCTGGGACGGCCAGGGGCAGAGCTGCTCCCATGTGGCACCCTACCCCGAGTCCTGGGTGTCTGGGCTCACACCCATCTCTGGCCTACCCCAAGTCCTGGGTGTCTGGGCTCATACCCGTCTCTGGGTGTCATTCCAGCAGCACCTTCTCCTCCTTTCAGGATGGCCCTGTTCAGTCAGGGTCCTGCCCTCTCCCACTGCACGGGGAGGTGCTAGAGAAGGGAGGGGGCCTGTGGGCACTGCCACTCACCCCTCCAACAGGCAGGGAGACAGGCACCTGCCCCAGGGATGCTGCAGCCCAGCACCCCTCCGGCAGCCTCGCCTGGCTCCAGCAAGAGCGGAATGTTCACAGGCCTGTCCACCGTCACCTCCTAACAGGTCCTGGAGAGGCCAGGCCACGCCAGTGCCATCACAGACTGTGCTCGGGAAGCTGAGGTGAGCCCCAGCCGGCCGTGAGCCCCAGCGCCCAGGCGCCTCCTCCCCTGTTGCAGCCCCACTGGGTCCCCAAGTCCCCACCCACGGCCAGTGTTTGTTTCTCCCTGAAAACCTGATTTGACTTCACTCAAAATCTCCACACCTGCTGCAAACGTCAGTTTGATAAACCTGACGCTGCCCTCCCGGCTGGGGGCAGGAATCTCTCTACCACCTGTGTGAGAAGAGGCCGAGCCTCAGAGTCCCAGGCCAAAACCCTGTTAGAGCAGCTTAGACACAGCACCAAGACCCCCCTAGACCCAGAGTGAGCCTAAAATGAAAAGCAAGTGAAAGCCTCGGACCGTGCAGCTGCTCGCCAGAACGTCTCAGGAAAACTGGCTGCGGCCTTTCCTGTGGAATCCAACCGAGATGGCCTCAGCCTGTCTCCCTTTCCTCGTCCTCAGTGCTCCTCACAGACCCCAAGACCCACAGGGCCTGCGTCACATGCACAGAAGCCAGGTCCTCTCCTACGGCCATTTTTGGGATCCCAAGAAAGCCCCCAGTGTCCCCTCACTGCTGTGCAGCTTACACCCCAAGTTCATTGCTCAGGGCCCGCTCTCTTTCATCAACAATTCTCCCCCTGCATCCTCTTGAAAACGCGGCCGCACCCGGCGGGGCACCATGCCAGACCACGGCCCTCTGCACAGCAGCAAGCCCACCACAGCGTGTGGACCGTGAGACCTGCCACCGTGACTTCTCCCCAAAAGGGCCTGAGCTGGGCTTAACCAGGAGGGCTGGGGAGAGCTGGATGCCCTTCACCCTCGCTGGGCAAGAGCCTCCTCCCAGGCATGTCCCAGCCTCAGGGCTTTGTCTCCAGAGGGGGCAGGCCCTGGGTGACACAGCCCCTCAGCCCCACTGCCCTGTCCCCGAGGCTGGCCAGCCCTTCCTTATCTGCACAGCCTGAAGCCTTGTGTGGCTGACTCGGCCCTGAGCTTGTTCTCACCACCAAAGGAAGAGCCAAGCGCCCCCACCTGCTCACCTCTGCCCTGACTGTCCTCACCCTGGATCCCTTCCCTAATTAAATCCCCCCGTCTGCAACCCAGGCAGGGAGTTTCCACCACACTCTACACTGCACAGCAGCCTCCATCGCAGGTGGTGCCGTCCCTGAGTGCAGGCGCCAGAAACCCCAAGGAGGCTCCTTGGCAGAGCCTGAGCCGGACCAGTGACCCCGCGGCCTCTCGGGAACAGGTCAGAGGCTCTGGAGGGCCTTCAGGTTCGTCTGGCCCTAATCTCCACCCACCCCTCGCCTCTGCCCCAGCCCATAACGGGGCCGTCCTCCAACAATGAGTGGGCAAAGGTGCAGGGCTGAACGCAGACAGCCGCCTGCTGCTCATCAAGGGAACAGCTTCCTGCCGCATCTTGGGGTCTATGCTGCCTGGTGGGGCCAGGAGACCCTGAGAGGGCGCTCTGCCCCAAGTCAGCCTGTCCCTCCTTTGCCCCAGATGGCTCCTGCTCCCACCTCCTCCTGTCCCCGTGAGCCACAGAGCAGCAGACGCATCATCAGTGGACACTGGCAAGACCATGTCAGTGCTCAGAAGCCTCCGGGTCAGCCCTCAGACCACCCCATGTGAGAAGGTAAACCCCGGCGCCCAGGTGAGCCCTCGGACCACCGCATGTGAGAAGCCAGGACACTCAGCATGAGCAGGTAAACCCGGGCGCCCAGGTGAGCCTTCGGACCACCCCACGTGAGAACTCAGGACACGTGAGAACCCAGGACACTCAGCGTGGGCAGGTAAACCCTGGTGCCCCAGCACCCCAGGCTCCTGCCCCACCCAGCCCACCAACACACAGTTGCCCAAAGTCCGGATTCCCAGCTCGCCCCAGGTCTTCCTGGGCACATTCTGTCCTTGCAAACCACTTAGAGGTTGAGGGACTGTTTATGGGGTGGGTGTGTGCCTGAATGTGTGAGAGACAGAGAAAAATTACCCCCAATCTATAAGCTATAGGTAAGAAAAAGTACATTTTAATTTTACATTAAATTGAATACTTTCAACTATATTTTAATGTGGAAATTCCCAGGCCAGTATGAGGTGTTGCTGTGGTCGGACCACGCTGGGCCCACTCACGATGGAGTCTGTCGTGAGAGCTGGAGCCCCACCCAAGCCACAGCTGCCCCCGGCAGGCAGGCCCCACCCAGGCTCTGCAATGGACACACGGAGACCCACCCGAGCCACAGCCACCCCCAGCGGGCAGACCCCACCCGGACTCTGCCTGGGCCACAGCCGCCCCCGGCGGGCAGACCCCACCTGGACCCTGCCTGGGCTGCCATGGACACACGGAGCAGCTTGAAAATCCAATGGTCCCTGGTGTAATTTCCTCAGAGATTACTTGGTTGATGAGAAAAGCAGTAAGTTTTGTTGTTTGGTTTCATCTATCTGGATTTTTGGTGAGAATTCTCCACTGCTCCCTGTCTGGGGAGAAGCCCAGCCCCATGGCAGCCCCAGCCTCTGTCCACCATCAGGCACGCTGGGCTGTCACACAGCCACCTGTCCAGGGCACCCATGACATCCGGAACCCACCTCAAATCTGGCTTCTGTGGACTGAAGGCGGCCGGCCTGCAGCCTCCTAGCTCCTGTTCCCACGGCCTCACGGCATCCGTCACTTTCGAGGGTCATCACAATATGACCAGAAGCCCACGGGTGGCTTTGAAAGAGATGAAGGCGGTGACATACGTGCCCAGTAAGGACGCAGCTAGGATGCCAGGTGGGGCAGGCCAACAGCAGCTCCAGGCAGGACCAGGATGGCCTCTGATTGTCAAACAGATTTAAAATTTTTGCTCTGAAACACTGAAACATTCCTTCCCAAGCAAGGACAGAGCCATGAATCCACAGCCAATCTGGAGTTCCTCTCTGGGCCTGGGCAGCCTCTCCTAGCTCCCCAGACAACACTCGGTGCCTCCCTGCAGCCTCCACCGTTAAGCAAAAGCGTGGATGTATGAATTCCAATTTAGGTTTTAGCTAATGCTTGCATTCCAGCCATTAATTGCCTTGAGCTAAATACCTAATTGGCTGTATAAATTCCCCAAATGGAATTCTTTGGCACCAAAAAAAAAGAGGAAGGCAGCTAATAACCACTACAGAGCACAAGACCCGTCTCCATAATTAGGCCCTGACGGACTCAGGCCAGGGCGGCACCACCTGCCCAGCTGGGCAGCCCAGAAGCAGCAGGGCCCCAGGGAGCCCGGTGGCTCAGCCACACATGCTGCCCACGCGGCCCGATAAGGCCGACCCGCCCAGCTTGCTCCCGCTGCCAGAGCCTCTTCCCCACCTCTCCAGGAAACAAAGCCACCTGCACGGGTACCCGGCCTGCCTTGCGTCCTGCCAGGCCCCTGGAAAGCAAACATCCCTCCAAGGCCTGGGCCAGTGGTGGGCTGCGTCAAGCTGTTAGCCAAGCGGGCAGTGAAGACGAAGGCTGCCCCGTAGCCAGGGAGCTGACCTCTCTGCGCAGGTGCCGGGGTACGAGCACCAGCAGAGCCGAGAGCGGGGGCAGTGCTGAAGCCCCTGCTGCCATCCACAAAGGGGCCTCAGAGGGTTGGAAATGACAAGCCACGGTCTTGCCCCACCCCGGCTCCTGGCCATGCTACCCAGCCACACGGCACAGGGCAAATGCCAGCAGGACACAGGCCCTCAGCCCGGCATCATCGTCAGCCCGAGGATGCTGGGCCAGGCCAGGTGCCGACTCAGCAGGGCAGCAAGAGGGCCTCACTGCTGAGGGTGAAGCCAAGCCCAGCATGGCGTGCCCCACTCCAGCCACTCCACCGCCAGGGCTGCTTTCTGGGACCACTCCCAGGATGAATCTCACAGGGAAGGCCACAGGCCAGGTCGGCAACAACATGCCCCCAGCAGAGTGGCCCAGACACAGGAGCAGGCTGGGTGTCTGAGAATCATCCTTAGAACACAGAGAGAAGTGGACTTGGAAGGATATAAATCAGAACGGTAACATTATTTTAGTATTTATTATACATTTTCTAAATGTTTCATAATAGCCATGTATTGCTTCTTAATTAGAGAAAATAGTAAGTTAGCATGAAAACCCCCCAAAAAGAGAAGAGATCTGGGGAGGAGGAGGGAGGTTGGTTTCCACACTGCTTTCATCAGGCCAGAGGCAAACAGAAGTCTCCGCAGACCCAGGTCTGGGCAGCGCTGCAGTGCAGGAGGGTGGGGTGGGGAGGGGGTCCCCTCCAGAGGAGCTGAGTCTTCACTGGCGCCTGATGCTGAATTTGAGGCCCCCAGGGGAGCCCCTCAGCGGGAGGGCCGTAGCATGAGGGGCTCCTCCTGCAGCTCCCACTCCTGGGCCAAGGGCATGGGGCAGTCCCACCTTAAGGTCAGAGCTGAACTGACAAGTGTTCCCCGGGGCTCCCAGGGCAGGCCCCAGTGAGAGTTCCCCTGGCACTGCTGCTGGGGGCATTTCCAGCCTAAGACGGGTTCAAGGCAACCCCACTCCAGTCCAGCCACTAGAACGAGACTGGACTGTCCAGGTGCTCCAGCCCCACCAGCGTTTCCAATGGTCAGGAGCAACGGCGTTGGGTGGTTAGGAGACCAGTGGGATGCCACATATCTGTGGGGATGAGGGGCACGGCACTTTGCACTTTGTGTCACTGTGGTGTCCAAGATGGAATTAAGGTGACACCCCCGCCTCCTCTCAACAGATGTTCAGGACATGAAGGGCCGTGACAGGCAGCACGTGCCCACTCAGCTGGATTCCAGGTTCCTTTGTGGGACTCGGCACCACCTGTGGACAACAGGGTGTGTTTAGGGTCCAGGGACTTTCACACCAGAGGAAAAGTAATCCTGACTTCTCTTCCCTCCCAGTGAACACTGAAAACAATCAAACGTCAAAGTCCGTTTTCTCCCAGGTCATGCGTGGGGTAGGGATGGTGTCTCCAATGACAGATACCAAAACCAACAATTCCAGGTACATGTCAATCCCACAACTCAAGCTCAAGAAGCTTCCAGAGGAAGCAAGGGCTGGCCCAAGGGCAGGTGAGGGTGGTCGGCCCACAGGGCCCTCCCGGAGCAGCAGCAGATACAATCATGCTATAGTTCAGTTTGCTCGAAGAGTGGAGTGTCAGCCTTGGCTCAGGAGTCACCAAGAGAGGACGATGCACAGATTCCCACAACAGCAAGACACACAGCGCAGTCTGAGTCCAAACAAACACCAATAGGCAGAAGCAAGACACACAGCGCGGGCCGAGTCCAAACAAACACCAACAGGCAGAAGCAAGACACATAGCGCGGGCCGAGACCAAACACCAACAGGCAGAAGTGAACCCGTGAGGCTTAATTCATAGTCAGGAACATTTGGAGGAGTTCAGCCCTTACTTCTTTGCCTTAGTGATTTCCAAACTCATGGATGCCACTTCAGTGTGGTAATGGAGCCAGGATGAGTGGAGAGCATGTCACACATCAGTTTCCCGCAGCCCCTGCACTGGTGACCCTTAGTTCATTCACAATCGCATAATCCCTTGTGATTTTCCTGGCAAACAGGAACACTAAACCTCTTTTTCTTCCTAAAATATTTGGTTTACAAAGTTAAGCAAAGGCAAAGCTACAACACAAAACGTTGCTGTAGTACAGACGAATCCAAGGTGGCCACAGCACAGATGAACCTGGTGAGGATGCCGTGGTGCCACAGACTGGGTGACTCACACAGAAACGTCCTCATGGTCTGGAGGCTGGAAGTCTGGGATGGGGGTGCCAGCACAGTCTGCTCTGGTGATGGCCTCCGCCTGGCTTCTCACCGCGTCCTTACATGGAGGAGAGAGGACTCTTCCTCTTCTTACGAGAGCACTGGTCCCTTCACGGAAGCCCTGCCCTCAAGACCCCATCTAACCCAATCACCGCCCAAAGGCCACCTATCCCATCGTGGGAGCCCCACCCTCACGGGTGATCTAACTCAATCACGGCCCAAAGGCCTCTCCTCCCAGCACCATCCCCTGGGGGTTTGGCCTTCTACACACTGAGTTCAATGAGACACATTCAGTCCATAACCGCTGCCTCAGAGAATGTCTTCCCACACACAAGGACACATACACACACACTGGTGAAACACAACTGAGATTCATTCTTGCTTTTTTTAACCTCATAGATATAATAGAGAAATGCGCACAAAAACGCATCGTATAGCAAACAATATTAAGTGAATATTCATCCAAACAGCACTCAAGAAATAGTCCCGCCAGCAGCTGGAACCCCCACCCCTGCTGCACCTTCATGGGGAGCCACCGCCGACTTGATGGAAGCTGTGCTCACGGCCGCGCCTGCCTCTGCACCAGATTCACAGGGCCTGTCGTCTTTCACACCTTCCTTCTTTCACTCAGCTTCATGTCTGTGAGATGATCCGAGTCGCCCCGTCATGGCTAAATTCCACTGTTCCATTGTATGAAAATAAAATAATCTTCCTCTCCTCCACCACCAAAGTGCATGTGGGTCACGTCCAGCCTGGGGAGACTGTAAACGATGCCACCTACGCGCTTCCTTGCGCATCTCCCTGACCAGGCGTACGTGTGCTTCTGCTGCGTGGAGGGCAAGGAGCGAAACCTCAGCCGCAGCAAACACACCTCTCCACATTCCAGCACACCTGCCCACCTGCTGTCCAAGCCCCCGAGGAGCTCAGAGGTTGTGTATCACAGCCAGGTGCTTCCAGGAACTCCCCGCCCCACGTCGCAGCTGCACCTGGAGCTGGTGCTTCCGGTTTTTGCCCGTCTAGTAGGGGAGCTGCTGAATTTCATACGGCTTCCGTCTTCATCACTCCAATTTAATAATTAGGTTGAAGACCATTTTACGTATTTCTCAGTCATTTGAATTTTCTCCTTAGAACTTCTGAAATGTTTTGCAAATGTTTCCTTCGTTGCCTTGTTCTCAGTGATTTGTCAGGGTCCTCTCTGTTTTGAACGTGAGATCTTTGTCGGTTACATGTCATTTACATGTGTTGAAAATATTGTCTCCCATTCTGTGGCTTGTCTTTTAATTAATTCTCTTTACGGTGTCTTTTTTACTAAGAGTTATTCTTGATTTTAATATAGTTGAAATTATCAGTAATTTCCTTTGCAATTAGCACTCTTTGTGTCCTGTCTCAAAACCTTCCTCTCCGCCCTAAAGTCATGAAACATTATATTCTCAGTTGAAAACCTTTATAGTCTTGCCTTTCACACCCATGAGCACAGGAGTTGGTGTCTCCGAAAGAAATTCGGTCCAGGTTCATCTTCTTCTAATATGGATTCCAGCTGTTCTCATCTTCCTTTTTTATTTCAAAATGTCTTGAGGTCCTTCTGTGTCAGCCCATCTACCTAACTCCGTCTTGAAGATGAACCACAACTTGAAGGGTGTTTAGAACGCTCGCGGTTTTTTCCTATGATAATGTTTCACAGAATCATTGCGCATTTGGTTCTTTACACCCAGGCCTGAACATCCATCACATAACTTCCCAGGAGTCAGGCTGGTGAGTTAAAGTTATGTGAATTTTAATTTCCTTAGATATTGGGCTGTCTTCCTTAAAAAAATTAATTCCATCGCAAAATTATTAAAAATTCCCCCACGTTTTCTTCCAGTACTTGTAAAATTCCATTATATTTTTAAGTCTCTGTGCCATCTGGATTTTATTTTGGGGTAAGGAGTTTGGGAGGGACCCAGCTATGTATTTTCCAAATGTCTGGCCAGTTGTCCCCAAATCATTACTGAATAATACATCTTTTCCCCACCGATTTAAAATGTCATCATTATCATATACCAAATACCCATACGCATTTGGGTCTATTTCTAGACTTTCTATTCTTTCCCTTCAATCTGCCCGTCTGTTCCCCACTCTGGCTTAAGTGTCCCATCACTGCAAAGCACTGAGTGTGCAAGACTCAACGCCCCACACACAACTTTCTTTTTCATAACTTTTCTGTTTAGTCTCATGTTTGTGTCTGAACCTGGACTTTAAAGCTAGTTCGTTTAATTTCAAAAAAAATTGTTAATATGCTGTTGTGATAACTTACATGTATAGGTTTATTCAGAGAGAATTCATATCCTTACAGAATTAAACCTTCTCACCCAGAAGCACTGTCTCCCCTGCCCAGCGGGTCCTCCCCATCTCCCAGTGGAGACCATGGACCTGCCGGGTTCACCGTCGCCAGGCTCCTCAAGGCCTTCCCCATTCTCCCTGGTTCACCCAGGAGCTCTGAGCACGCCACGCACCTGCCCCTGCAACCTTGTCCCGGGCGGCCTCCTGCCACCCCACCGATTTCCCCTCCCACTCACAGACTGTGGCATCTCAAGGTGACCTTGGGCTGGAGAGCCAGGATTCCAGCGGACACCTCTGGGCTTGGGGGGCTCGATAAGACAGGTGGAGTGAGTGAGGTCAGGAGGGGATGAGGAGGGAGACACAAAGGAAAGGAAGTGACCAGAACCTTTGGGAAACACAAAGAAAAACTATGCAAGAAGAGAAAGTCCCAACACCACAGTTAGAAGTGGCACATTTGGGGCGGCTGTTGCAGGATGAAGCAGGAGCATCTCTTGGAACTGCACAAAGAGTCTTCTCCTCCAGAGTAACACGGGGTCTTACTCTGTTGCCCCGTGGCTCAGGGGCACAGAGGGCCCCACTCGGCTTGTCTGCAATCAACGCTGGTACAGCTGCAACACAGGGAGCACCCCGAGGATCCACCCATCACTGCAGCTGCAGGGCTGGGCATGATGCTTTTAACTTGACAGTGTGAAAACTAAATGTTGGCTAACACAGCCTGGACGTAGGGGAATTGAAAGAGGACAGTCCTCACCGTACGGTGCAGGGGGCACCACAGGGTTGGCTAACACAGCCTGGACATAGGGGAATTGAAAGAGGACAGTCCTCACCGTACGGTGCAGGGGGCACCACAGGGTTGGCTAACACAGCCTGGACGTAGGGGAATTGAAAGAGGACAGTCCTCACCGTACGGTGCAGGGGGCACCACAGGGTTGGCTAACACAGCCTGGACGTAGGGGAATTGAAAGAGGACAGTCCTCACCGTATGGTGCAGGGGGCACCACAGGGTTGGCTAACACAGCCTGGATGTAGGGGAATTGAAAGAGGACAGTCCTCACCGTACGGTGCAGGGGGCACCACAGGGTTGGCTAACACAGCCTGGACATAGGGGAATTGAAAGAGAACAGTCCTCACCCTACAGTGCAGGGGGCACCACAGGGGCTACACAGAGGAGGACTGAGTCAACTCCTGATGAGATGGTGTGGAACCATATGGAAAAGTGGCAGCTGCCGCAGGACCTCAACGTGGGAGAGGCTACTGTTGCCCCTGGGTGAGCTCAGGAAAGAGGGGCAGGATCTGTTGCTTCTTATTTTAAGCCCTATATTACTCGGCTTTTAAGTGAACCATATATATGCATTACTGTCACACAAATTAACTGAGGAAAATTGAAAGCCTCATGTCTCCTAAGTACTAAGCATTCAACTGACATTTGTTGTGCACTGACCATGTGCAGGGAACCGACGGAGACACTTAGAAACTCAGCAAAGCAGACAAGTCTCCTCCTATGAAACTCACATTCTAGGTGGGGACAGACAAGACACAATGCACACAATCACCGATGTCAGGATTGGGGACGGTTGCTATGGAGGACAGACAAGACACACACAATCACCGATGTCAGGACTGGGGACGGTTGCTATGGAGGACAGACAAGACACAACGCACACAATCACCGATGTCAGGATTGGGGATGGTTGCTATGGAGGACAGACAAGACACAACGCACACAATCACCGATGTCAGGATTGGGGATGGTTGCTATGGAGGACAGACAAGACACAACGCACACAATCACCGATGTCAGGATTGGGGATGGTTGCTATGGAGGACAGACAAGACACAACGCACACAATCACTGATGTGAGGATTGGGGATGGTTGCTACAGAGGACAGACAAGACACAACGCACACAATCACTGATGTGAGGATTGGGGACAGTTGTTATGGAGGACAGACAAGACACAACACACACAATCACTGATGTGAGGATTGGGGACGGTTGCTACAGAGGACAGACAAGACACAACACACACAATCACTGATGTGAGGATTGGGGACAGTTGTTATGGAGGACAGACAAGACACAACACACACAATCACTGATGTGAGGATTGGGGACGGTTGCTACAGAGGACAGACAAGATACAACACACACAATCACTGATGTGAGGATTGGGGACAGTTGTTATGGAGGACAGACAAGACACAACACACACAATCACTGATGTGAGGATTGGGGACGGTTGCTACAGAGGACAGACAAGACACAACGCACACAATCACCAATGTCAGGATTGGGGATGGTTGCTATGGAGGACAGACAAGACACAACACACACAATCACTGATGTCAGGATTGGGGATGGTTGCTATAGACAAAGAAGAGATGAAGAGGGTGCAGGCTTGGGGGCAGGTTCAGTGACAGCAGAGTGGAGTGTGGATCATTGCAATGACGAGAGAGCCTCTTTTGGCCACTCTGTTGACCTCGAACATCCCCCCAAGCAGACTACACACTGTCAATGTGTTCAAAAACAGAGATGACGGCTGTTGCATGGAACAGACATACACAGCCTCAGCGACCCCCCGGGGGCCCCTCGAAATGTGTTTGTCAGGCTGCCTCCACGCAGCCCACAGGCATGGAGCAAACACACGCTCCACTTGCTTCATGATGCCAAGCACAGAACCCACTTCAGGAAAACCCAAGAAATGGCCCCCATGGACCCCCAATCCCACTACTTCCCACCCTAAAAACAAAATGAACAGAAACACCACACCTCCAGGCAGCCAGCACAGTAAGCTTTTCACTTAAGTTTTTATTATAGAAATGTTCAAACATACACGAAAGCAGAGAAGATAACGGCACGGACGCCATCGGCCACGGCCACCCATCGCTCTGCAGAGAAGACAACGGCACGGACGCCATCGGCCACGGCCACCCATCGCTCTGCAGAGAAGACAACGGCACGGACGCCATCGGCCACGGCCACCCATCGCTCTGCAGAGAAGACAACGGCACGGACGCCATCGGCCACGGCCACCCATCGCTCTGCAGAGAAGACAACGGCACGGACGCCATCGGCCACGGCCACCCATCGCTCTGCAGAGAAGACAACGGCACGGACGCCATCGGCCACGGCCACCCATCGCTCTGCAGAGAAGACAACGGCACGGACGCCATCGGCCACGGCCACCCATCGCTCTGCAGAGAAGACAACGGCACGGACGCCATCGGCCACGGCCACCCATCGCTCTGCAGAGAAGACAACGGCACGGACGCCATCGGCCACGGCCACCCATCGCTCTGCAGAGAAGACAACGGCACGGACGCCATCGGCCACGGCCACCCATCGCTCTGCAGAGAAGACAACGGCATGGACGCCATCGGCCATGGCCACCCATCGCTCTGCAGAGAAGACAACGGCATGGACGCCATCGGCCATGGCCACCCATTACTCTGCAGAGAACATAACGGCACAGATGCCATCGGCCACGGCCACCCATTGCTCTGCAGAGAACATAACAGCACGGATGCCATCGGCCATGGCCACCCATTGCTCTGCAGAGAACATAACAGCATGGACGCCATTGGCCATGGCCACCCATCGCTCTACAAAGAAGATAACGGCATGGACGCCATCGGCCACGGCCACCCATTGCTCTGCAGAGAACATAACAGCATGGACGCCATCAGCCACAGCCCCCCATCGCTCTGCAGAGAAGACAACGACATGGACGCCATCGGCCACGGCCCCCCATCAATCTGCGGAGAAGACAACAGCCACCCATCACTCTTCAGAGAAGATAACGGCATGGACGCCATCAGCCACAGCCCCCCATCACTCTGCAGAGAACATAATGGCACGGACGCCATTGGCAATGGCCCCCCATCGCTCTGCAGAGAACGTAACGGCACGGATGCCATCGGCCACGGCCCCCCATTGCTCCACAGAGAAGATAATGGCACGGATGCCATCAGCCACAGCCACCCATCGCTCTGCAGAGAAGATAACAGCATGGACGCCATTGGCCACAGCCACCCATTGCTCTGCAGAGAACATAACAGCACGGACGCCATCGGCCACGGCCCCCCATCGCTCTGCAGAGAACATAATGGCACGGACGCCATCGGCAATGGCCCCCCATTGCTCTGCAGAGAACATAACGGCACGGATGCCATCGGCCATGGCCCCCCATCGCTCTGCGGAGAACATAACGGCACGGATGCCATCGGCCACGGCCCCCCATTGCTCCGCAGAGAAGATAACGGCACGGACGCCATCGGCCATGGCCACCCATCACTCTGCAGTGGCTCATGTTTCACTCCATCCGTCTCCCCTGCCACCCCTCCCTGTTTTCCAGGGTTGAGGGTGGAGTCAGTTAGAGAAAATCTACTACACCATATTCTGTGTATCTCTAGCAAATGAGGACTTATCTCATTTTATTTTATTTAGGGGAGACGGGGTCTTACTCTGTTGCCCAGGCTGGACGGCGGTGACACAATCACGACTCACTGCAGCCTCCACCTCCTGGGCTCAATGATTCCCCCGCCTCCATCTCCCACAGCACCAGGATCACCACAACTCACCCACATGAGGGCTTTAAAAAATGTCATCACAAACCCAGTATCACACCAGCAACATTAGTTAACAGCAACTGGTCTTTAATAATGTTCTAGTATCCGGTCAGTGCTAAATTCCATTAATTAAAAAAAAAGTCATCTTGTAGTTAATTTGTTTGAATTAATATCCAAGGAGGGTCCATCATACGTCTACACAGCAATGGCGCACGCAGGGTGGATTCAGTGTTTGTGGTTTGCTATGAATCTGATGAGCCACCAAGAATCCAGGCTGAGTCTTCTGACCCCTTTCCTGATGCTTATTTCCTGAAAGCGTCCTTATCTGTTTGCACAGTATCCACGCTCTGCATTCCTCCTAACTCCAATGAACATCCCCAGAATCCCCAATGAGAAGAAACCGTGTCCCTCCCAGGGCTCCTCAGCATCTCGGGTGCAATGTCTCTGGACACTTCCAGCGGGCAGGTGTCTACCCTGGCCTTGATAAGCAGACACCACTAGCCCTGAAAGCAAAGGTGCTACCTCGGCCTGCGGGACCACAGCGGATGCGCGGCCCCAGTCAGCACACGGTGAGGGGCGTTACCACCAAACCTCCCTCTCCAGGGCGAGCCTGGCCTGGGGGGAGTCACAGTAAAGCCACCGTCAAAACTCCTTCCAAGTTCATTAGCAAAGGTGCTACCTCGGCCTGCGGGACCACAGCGGATGCGCGGCCCCAGTCAGCACACGGTGAGGGGCGTTAACACCAAAACTCCCGCTCCAGGGCGAGCCTGGCCTGGGGGGAGTCACAGTAAAGCCACCGTCAAAACTCCTTCCAAGTTCATTAGCAAAGGTGCTACCTCGGCCTGCGGGAACACAGCGGATGCGCGGCCCCAGTCAGCGCACGGTGAGGGGCGTTAACACCAGACCTCCCCCTCCAGGGCGAGCCTGGCCTGGGGAGAGTCGCAGTAAAGCCACCGTCAAAACTCCTTCCAAGTTCATTATTTACACCCTGAGTGTTCTCAGCAGGGCCAAAACTTCACACCTCTGACTGAATTTTCATCCATTTGGAAGGGTTCCGGGTCTCCTGGGAGTTTTAGAAATTGGGAGTGAGAAGACGTGGTTGAAAACTGAGGTGAAAGCTCTAAGAGAAAGTTAATTTGGTGTCTCCTGGGCACTTCACAGCTCTGCAGTGCCCAGGGTTCCATTATGCGTCCCTCAGTGTGAAACACAGCAAACCTTATTAAATACCCTTCTAGCAAAATCCCCCATCCTCCGAGCTTGGCCTGTGCTCCGCTTCCTCCTTTCCTGCCCCAGACGCCACAGCAAACGTTATTTCCCCGACATCTGGTGGTTTTCAAAGGACAATGCTCAGACCAGTGCACCAGGAAGTGGGCCGGGCGAGTGATCTGCAGTCCATCGGGATGTCCAGGAGATGCTGACACAGGCTGAGAAGCTCGGCCCCCAGCTCCCAAAGCTTACCACGGCCACCTGGGGGAAAAGCTGCCATGTCTTAGAAATATTGACACTGGCCTCATTCCCTGAATTCTGATTTGTCAAGAGGTGTGGCCTGACCACCCGGATCTTTTAAAGCTCCCCCGGTTTTTAAAAGCTCTAATAGTCAGCAAAATGCAAAACCACGCCCCCACCCAACAGCCCCATGATGTCCCACGAAGTCGACCGCCGGAGCCCTGACACCAGCATCACCCTCTCGTGCGGTCTCCCAACAGCCCTGCAGAGCCAGAACCATGATCGTCCCCACTGCACACCTCGGAGAGCTGAAAGTTGCACAGTTATTTACTGAGTAGATTTGGGATTCAAATCCAAATCCTACTGTGAAGCCGGTACCCCCATAACACCAGGCTGGGCGGGCTCCACGCTGCCTAAGAGCAGAGACTCTGCCTCATTTCCCCTTCTAGTCCCAGCAACAAGCACAGAGTGAGACCTCAGCACACTAACCGTGGACACACCTTTGATCCCAGGGCCCCCTGAGGACTGCGTGATCTTCAGAGGTGCACCCTCCACGCAGCACAGGCCAGACAAGGGAAACTGCAGGGAGCACTGGCAAAGGACACATGTGGGGAAGACACGAGAGGCAGGAGACGGCAACATCTGTGGGGGCACAGGAGAGAGAGGACAGGGTGCCGCGGCCATCACAGGGTGACACCGGAGCCTTGGTGTGGCTGCCCTGGGCTGGACTTGCTGCACACACAGGGCCACGAGGACTTTGGGACCACACGTGCTGATGTCTCCACTGTCCAGAGGAAGACACCAAGGCTTGAGGCTGTGGCTCCAAGTGCACACAGTTGCACAAGCACACATGCATGCTGCACCACAACACCCAGATGAGAATCCAGAGCCCCCACTGCCTGGGATGAATGGGCTCCAGAATCCAGAGCCCCCACTGCCTGGGATGAATGGGCTCCAGAATCCAGAGCACCCGCCTGGGACGAACAGGCTCCAGAATCCAGAGGCCCCGCTTGGGACGAACGGGCTCCAGAATCCAGAGCCCTCGCCTGGGACGAACGGGATCCAGAATCCAGAGCCCCTGCCTGGGACGAACGGGCTCCAGGGGCCCGCAAAAGGACGTCGGCTCTGCACCACCCCTACCTATTACTCTATACTGAGCCGCAAACCCATGCACGCCTCAGTCCAAATGTCATAGCTTCTCTTTCTCCCACTACCCTGAGGGCCACACACACATGACTCGGAGAAAGGCCACAGCCTGTGTGTCACAGGATCTCCCTAAATGTCCAGTGGCCCCTGTCCAGCCGCTGTGGCTGCCCACATCATGGTGCTGGGCCCTGCCGTTTCTCCATCATAGAACCACCAAGAGGCAACCGAGAAACCCAGGAGCATGGCAACATCCACAGTCTCCAGGATGGGGCCCTATCTACATGCTCCTCCTAGAGGGGCTGTGTACCGTGAGCACAGGAGGGTCATCCAGCTACAGGATGGGACTCTATCTACAAGTTCCTGCTAGAGGGTCTGTGTGCCGAGAGCACAGGAGGGTCATCCAGCTACAGGATGGGACTCTATCTACAAGTTCCTGCTACAGTGCCTGTGTGCCGTCAGCACAGGAGGGTCATCCAGCTGCAGGATGGGACTCTATCTACATGCTCCTCCTAGAGGGGCTGTGTGCCGTGAGCACAGGAGGGTCATCCAGCTGCAGGATGGGACTCTATCTACAAGTTCCTGCTACAGTGCCTGTGTGCCGTCAGCACAGGAGGGTCATCCAGCTGCAGGATGGGACTCTATCTACATGCTCCTCCTAGAGGGGCTGTGTGCCGTGAGCACAGGAGGGTCATCCAGCTGCAGGATGGGACTCTATCTACAAGTTCCTGCTACAGTGCCTGTGTGCCGTCAGCACAGGAGGGTCATCCAGCTGCAGAATGGGACTCTATCTACAAGTTCCTGCTACAGGGTCTGTGTGCCAAGAGCACAGGAGGGTCATTCAACTGTAGGATCGGACTCTATCTACATGTTCCTGCTACAGGGGCTGTGTGCCATGAGCACAGGAGGGTCATCCAGCTACAGGATGGGACTCTATCTACAAGTTCCTGCTAGAGGGTCTGTGTGCCAAGACCACAGGAGGGTCATCCAGCTGCAGAATGGGACTCTATCTACATGCTCCTCCTACGGGGGCTGTGTGCCGAGACCACAGGAGGGTCATCCAGCTCCAGGATGGGACTCTATCTACATGTTCCTGCTACGGGGGCTGTGTGCCGTCAGCACAGGAGGGTCATCCAGCTGTCCGGAAATGAAAACTCACAGTCACCAAGCATACGCAGTGCCATCTGATGAGAATTCATCTGCTCTGTCCTGCACGGTCCCATGGGAAAGTCAAGCCATGGCCCCAGCTCCCTTCCTCAACCATCGTTCATGATCGAGCTTATTCTGATGTTGATGCAAGAAATGTTCCACCCACCTTTGGCTGGCAAAGCCTGCCTAGAAATATACAAGAACAGATAGTAGTTCCAGTAAAGCACAGAGTACCTCAAAATAGAAGACATTACAGAGAGAAACGTGTGCACGCTGGCAGCTAGCTGAAAAGTCAGCTGATCCACATAAAGTTGGTTAGGAAAAATCTTCTAGAGATGCAGACCATCATTGCACAAACTACAACATCCTCAAACCCAAGACACACTGCAGAGAAATAACAGCTCTTCCTTTCTACTATGGAGGATTCTGCCCGACAGTCATGTGGCTTCACTTAAGATCAGAAGTGACCTGGTCAAGAAGCATAGAAGAAACCTCAAATTTCCAAATTCCCAGTCTTTCATTTTTTTCTTGGTTCTATGAACAATAAAATCTTACAGCATAAAGGCCGGGCGCGGTGGCTCATGCCTGTAATCCCAGCACTTTGGGAGGCCGAAGGGGGTGGATCACGAGGTCAAGAGATCAAGACCATCCTGGCTAACACAGTGAAACCCCGTCTCTACTAAAAATACAAAAAAATTAACCGGGCGTGGTGGCAGGCGCCTGTAGTCCCAGCTACTCGGGAGGCTGAGGCAGGAGAATGGCATAAACCCGGGAGGCAGAGCTTGCAGTGAGCTGAGATGGTGCCACTGCACTCCAGCCTGGGCAACAGAGCGAGACTCCGTCTCAAAAAAAAAAAAAAATCTTACAGCATAAAAACTGAAGCATACAGAAAATGGTGAAAAAAAATATCATTCTAGGTGCATTTTCTTCCAGTGTTTTCCAAAGCATAATTACGTACTTTTTCCAAAGCACTCAAATTCATTCTGTAGCCTCGGGGCTGTCTCCTGCCACTCCCACTGGGTACTACACGCGAGCATTTCCCGGAACCATGGAAAGAGCCTCTTGGCCACCTGCTGTAGAGGCTGACTGCACTGTTCCCTGCTATGCTTGGTCATATGGGTTGTTTTAAAGTTTTTCAACATTATAAATAAAGCTGTAACAAACGTGCTTTCAATTATTTTTCACCCACATTTTAAAAACACGTCTTTAGTGTGGGTTCCTACAGTCTGAGTTACTGAGCCTAAAGACACTGGCATATTTGTGACTTCCAAGGAAACAACCCATACTCACCCCATGGCAGAGAATCCCTGCCTTGCTGCAGGAGCCGGCGCTTGGGTGAACGCCTCCCGTCCTTGGATAGAACCGCCTGGGTGCTTCGGTTCGTACTTCTCCTTCCATGCTTTCAGACCCCCTGTGCTTCCGCCCACGCCCTGTGCTGCTCTGCTTTCTAGGTCCACACACCAGGGCCCCTCTCTGGGACCATCTTGCCCCAGGCTTTGATCCCAACACTCGCCCTATATCTCCAAATAAAAATAAATTGTTGGGTTCTTTCTGGAGGAGTTTGGGTGAGCTTGTTTATCCCAGGATGTCACTTCTCAAAGGCAGTGCAGATCCTCATACAGCGGGCTGATGCTCCTGACCACCTCCCTCCCAGCAGGCCCATAAAGACCCTCAGACGCCATGCACCGGAGGCCCCTGTGGCTTCTACTATCTGGCATTTGTCTGGTGTGCTGGCATCATCTATACCACACCCGGCCTCTGTCACACCTTCTGCTCTCACATGATGCGATACCGTACTTGCATTTGACAGAAAACACACAGAGTCCTAGAGATGATATGTGAAAATTAAGGGGTGCCTGGTCCTGTCTCGGCCATGAAAATGGTGGTAGAGAAAGAGGGAACACCTGCCTGTTAGCTTTCCTGAGGATGACAAGTCATTTACTGCCTTAAAACTAAGACAAAAAGGAGTGGTTCCTCAATGAATTCCTCTCCCCTCCTTCCACCCTGAGACGTGTCATATAGCTGCCTCAGGCCCTGTGTTTCTCACGTAAAACCTGTGCTGATGACAGGTTCATTTTCAAACACAGGAAGGATGTCCAGCTCACAGTCCGCAAAACTACAAGCTAAGCTGCCTACGATTGTGTGGGGATCCAGGAAAACAGAGGATGAGTTGAAGGTTGGGACACAGACCCCTTCAGGCAAATCCACACACAGCTCAGTTTTATTGAAGAAAATCAATAACATAAATTATTTCAAATAGCAGTGCAACAACTTGGGGGTTACATTTATTTTATTCAGCACGAATAACTGGTTCTATTCCCTTGTGCTCATTTTAGCAGTGATGATTTGAACTCAGATCATTAGTTTCATGTTTCCCCAGCCTGGCTGCACATTACAGTCAACTGTACTAAAACCATAAACCCCAAAGCCCCAGATGGGAGATGCCGACTTGGTCAGTCTGGTATAGGATCTGGATCTGTGTACTTTTATAAGCTTCCTACATGGTTCTAGTCATTTGGGCAACACCAGGTAGACCAAGCCCCTCAATATGCAAGTACAGAACTGGAGGGCCAAAAGGGCAGGTGAGCCCATCATCCCCTAACTCCATCTTTTCTCATTTCTGTCCCCCACCCCAAATCATCACCATTGTCACCATCATCATCATTACTATCATCACCATCACCATCAGCATCATTACTATCATCACCATCACCATCAGCATCTCATCATCATTATCATTACCATCACGACCATCATTGTTGTCATCATCACCATCACCATCATTGTCATCACCATCATGTTGTCATTATCATTACCACCATCATCACCATCATCATTACCATTACCATCACCACCATCATCACCATCATTGTCATCACCATATCATCATCATTGTTATCACCATCCTCATTGTCATCATCATTGTTGTCAATATCACCGTCACCATCATCATTGTTATCACCATCATTGTTATCATCAACACCATCATCATCATCACCATCATCGTCATCACCATATCATCACTATCTTCACCATCATCATCACCATCATCATCCTTACCATCGCCATCATTGCCATGCCATTTAGTAAACAATCACTTCATCATCACCGTCATCATCCTTACCATCGCCATCATTGCCATGCCATTTAATAAATAATCCTTCATCATCACCATCATCATCCTTACCATCACCATCATTGCCATGCCATTTAGTAAGTAATCACTTCATCATCACCGTCATCATCCTTACCATCGCCATCATTGCCATGCCATTTAGTAAGTAATCACTTCATCATCACCGTCATCATCCTTACCATCGCCATCATTGCCATGCCATTTAGTAAATAATCCTTCATCATCACCATCATCATCCTTACCATCGCCATCATTGCCATGCCATTTAGTAAATAATCCTTCATCACCACCGTCATCATCCTTACCATCGCCATCATTGCCATGCCATTTAGTAAATAATCCTTCATCACCACCGTCATCATCCTTACCATCACCATCATTGCCATGCCATTTAGTAAATAATCCTTCATCATCACCATCATCATCCTTACCATCGCCATCATTGCCATGCCATTTAGTAAATAATCCTTCATCATCACCATCATCATCCTTACCATCGCCATCATTGCCATGCCATTTAGTAAATAATCCTTCATCACCACCGTCATCATCCTTACCATCGCCATCATTGCCATGCCATTTAGTAAATAATCCTTCATCATCACCATCATCATCCTTACCATCGCCATCATTGCCATGCCATTTAGTAAATAATCCTTCATCACCACCGTCATCATCCTTACCATCGCCATCATTGCCATGCCATTTAATAAATAATCCTTCATCATCACCATCATCATCCTTACCATCGCCATCATTGCCATGCCATTTAGTAAGTAATCACTTCATCATCACCGTCATCATCCATACCGTCACCATCATTGCCATGCCATTTAGTAAACAATCACTTCATCGTCACCATCATCATCCTTACCATCACCATCATTGCCATGCCATTTAGTAAATAATCCTTCATCACCACCGTCATCATCCTTACCATCGCCATCATTGCCATGCCATTTAGTAAATAATCCTTCATCATCACCATCATCATCCTTACCATCGCCATCATTGGCATGCCATTTAGTAAACAATCACTTCATCATCACCATCATCATCCTTACCATCGCTATCATTGCCATGCCAATGAGTAAATATCACCAGTGCCAGATTCTGTGCTACACCCTTATGCTCATTATCATTGACCTTCAGATCAATGTATTATCCCCATTTTAGAGATAAGGGAGTTGAAGTTCAGAAAGGCTAAGTAATTTTCTTAGGATAACACAGCTAGTTACAGAGGCTATGGTGTTCTTATCGCAGACTGGAGCTAAGCTGCTGAGATACAAGTCCAGATTCCAGCACCAATCAGCTGTGTGGCTGTGGACATTTCCTAAAGCATGCTGGGCCTCCTCTCCTGGGCCTTGTATGTGGAGATACTAAGAGTGCCCATCTTGCAGAGTTTGTGCGAAGTGACACTCTGGTGGCTCTCCAGCCTTCAAATCCAGTCCTATCAAGATCCATCATGATTACTCCCCCAGAGACTGTCTTGATTCTCCCACTGGATGTCTCTTCTTTCCCACCCCGTGACCCCTTTGAATTCTTAAAATGCTTTCTTGGTTCTTCATTCATACCACACCCCTTACTCCCTTACTGTATCTCCTGTACACATCATTTATTTACCACTTTATCCCTGCAGTAGACAGAAGCTCATGAGGGCATTTTTTCATTATGATAACTGTTTTCACTAACATTCCTGAGCATCTAATCTATGCCATCTAATCTTTAGTAGATACTGTACTAAATATTTTATTTGCAGTATCACATTAAATCTTACTACAAAGAAGGCATTATTGCTATGCTTACTTTAGAGACAAGCAAACTGAGGCTTAGAAAGAGTCAGTACTTGGAAGCACTGAAAGGCTCAGCTCTCACAGTCCAAGTACCAGCTGTTTAACCACTGCACAGTTTATATCCTTCCCAAGACACTGCCCTGAATGCATTGATCCAGGGGCCTCCAGTGGATGCTTGGGAAAAGCCAGCTACCTGCCACATGTGTGCTGGACTTGGGCTGGGCAAAAACAAACCTGGTCTCTGATCACGTAAGCCTAGAACCCAGAAAGCCAGCAGTTATGGGTGCAGTCATGTGGGCTAAGCTACTTTGCCTGGGGACCCGCAGTCACACGTGCTGAGCAGCTTTACATACTTTCAGGCCTTGAACCCAGATCCCTGCCTCACGCCTCACACACCCCACTTCCTGTTGCATGATGCATCCATGCAGTAATAAAATGGACATCCTTAAAGCAGATAACAAAATCCAACTCATCATTTTGTAAAATTTTTGGATGTACATTTGAGGCGTGCAACATGATGTTGGATACATACATGCATACTGAGGTGGCCACTGTGGTCAAGAGTTAACACCTCTGCCTCCACCCTCTCCTAGAGGCACCCTCTGGGCAAATTACCAGTAAACAATCCAATGTTGTTACTACATACAGTCCTCACGCTGTGCATTAGGCCCCTGGGCTCACTCCTCCCACAAAACTGCAGCTTCCTACCCTCTCATCCACATCTTCTCATTCCTCGCCACTCCCACCCCCCAAACCATAACCAGCTTTCCACTCTCTGTTTCTATGTAGTCAACTTTTTTTTTTAAGATTCTACATATGTGTGAGATCATGCAGTATCTGCCTTTCTGTGCCTGGCTTATTTCACTTACTTCACACTATTTACAACATCATGTCCTCCAGGTTCATCCATGTTTTGAAAATGACAGGATCTCCTTTTTTAAGGCTGAATAGTATCCATTGTGTATGTATACCACAATTGCTCTATCCATTCATCCATCAGAAACACCTGTACTGTCTCCATGCCCTGGTGAATAGTGCTGCAATGAGCATCAGGGTGCAGACACCTCTTCTGCCCATTTAATTTCTTCTGGATCTATAACCAAAAGAGGCGTTGATGGTAGCACTGTTTTTAATTTCTTGAGGAACCTACACACTGTTTCCATAAACAGTGTGCAAGTTGGCCAGGTGCAGTGGCTCACGCCTGTAATCCCAGAATTTTGGGAGGCTGAGGCGGGTGGATCACTTGAGGTCAGGAGCTCAAGACCAGCCTGGCCAACACGGTGAAACCCCATCTCTACTAAAAATATAAAAATTAGCTAGGCATGGTGGCACATGTCTGTAATCCCAGCTACTCGGGAGGCTGAGGCAGGAGAATCACTTGAACCCAGGAGGCAGAGGTTGCAGTGAGCTGAGATCGTGCCACTGTAGGACAGAGCGAGACTGTCTCAAACAAAGCATCCAAGTGTCCCTTTTCTCTACACACTTGCCAACACTTGTTATCTTCTGTCTTTTTGATAAAAGCCATTCTCACAGGTGTGAGAGGGTAAGTCACTGGGGCTCTGATGTGCGTTTCCAATGATTAGTGATGCTCAGCACCTTTCCCATACCTGTCAGCCATCTGTATGTCCTCTTTGGAAAAATGTTCTATTCAGGTTCTTTGCCCTTTTTAAAATTGGAGGGTTTGGGGGTTTTTTGGCTTTTGGGTTTTTTTTGTGTGTTGTTTGTTTGTTTGTTTTGCTATTGAGTTGAGTGAGTTCCTTATATATTTTAGATATTAACACCTTATAGATCTATGGTTTTTCAACATTTTCTCCCGCCCTGTAGGCTGCCTTTTCATTTTGATGGTTTCCTTTACCGCACGGCAGCTTTTCAGTTTGATATAGTCCCACTCATTTATTTTGCTTTTGTTGCCTGTGTTTTTGGGTCTTGTCCAAAACTTCTTGCCGAGACCAATGTCAAGGAGCTCTTCCTGTATGTTTTCAGAGTTTTACAGTTTCAGATCTTGTGTTTGGGTCTTTAACCAATTTTGGGCAGATTTTTGAGAACGGTGTAAGGTAAGGTCCCATTTCATTCTTTTGAGTGTGGATGTCCAGTTTCCCCGAAACCATTTAAAGAGACGGCTCTTACCCCAGAGTCTGCTTCACACCTAGTTGACCATATATGGTCAGGTTTATTTCTGGGCTCTTTGTTCTGTTCCCATCTCATCCTTTTACATGGCGTGTGTTTAAGTCACTGGCCAAAACTTGGGTAATTCTGCTGCCAAAGACCTGGGAGCCCCCGGGGAAGGCCCTGTTGATGTTTCTGTTGCTGTTGCGTTTGTTACACTGTGGCAAGCTGTTCAAATTCTTGCTTTCACCGCCACCCATTTACCCTGTGCTACTTTACAGTAGCTAGTCTAGGATGCAACTGGAATTGTGGGGCTCAAGTGAAACAATGTGCATAAAATCTCCCGTAAATTATAACTCACACTGCATGTATAAGCAAAAATTGTGGCATTTTTACAGTCTTCCTACATCTTCAGCTAATAGCCTTAATAACAAAACACAGAATATTGTCACTCAATTAGACTAGGGTTATTTACCTAAGACAATTTTGCATTGCAATTTGCAAATTCTTAAATGGCAAATTAGTCATTTGCATTGATTTGCATGTCCACAGAGAAATATCTTTCATGCTAATTATGTTTTTGCTAACAAACCATAGAAGTAATAATGAGGAAACTGAATTCCCTCACCGCACCTTTGGCTTTGTTACACAAAGCACAGCTGGCGTTTCAGGGTGGGAGGGTTTCATCAGGATCGTCTTGCCCAGAGATCCTCAACTCTGATAGCACATTACAGTCACCTCGGGAAGCTTCAGAGAAAAAGAAAGGACGGCAAAGCCTGGGTCCCGCCCCCAC
Source organism: Homo sapiens (assembly GCF_000001405.40). NCBI lineage: Eukaryota > Metazoa > Chordata > Mammalia > Primates > Hominidae > Homo > Homo sapiens. The sequence goes on along the minus strand of NT_187560.1, from coordinate 8,696 downwards.
CCCGCCCCTCGCCGCCCTCAGCTGACATTCTGATTCACTGGCGCCAGTTTATGTCTGGGCATCACTATTTTTCAAAGCTTCCAGGTGTTTCCAGGTGTTACCACCGGCATGGCTGACCCCCTTGTTTTGCACGTAAGAAATCCAACGTGCACAGAGCTGTGGCTTGAATAGAGAGGGGTGCGCAGGGTGGTGGCAGGGCAAGACAAGCCCAAGCTTCCTGACTGATGCCCAGTCCCCTATGCTTGTCCCACAAAGATCGAGACTCTATTGTGCATACAGGCATGCACACCCCCCACCCACACACACTCCCGGTGGAGCAACAGCGTGCACACCCACGCACACTCCCGATCAACAATGTGCACACCCACACACTCCCAATCGATCAAGAGTATGCACACCCACACACACTCCTGGTCAATCAACAGTGTGCACACCCAGGCACACTCCTGGTGGATCAACAGTAGGCACACCCACACACACTCCGGGTGGATCAACACTATGCACACCCATGCACACTCCCGGTGGATCAACACTATGCACACCCACACACACTCCGGGTGGATCAACACTATGCACACCCACACACACTCCTGGTGGATCAACACTATGCACACCCATGCACACTCCTGGTGGATCAACAGTGTCAGGCTTTCAGACTGAGGAAAGGAAAACACTGTTTTTGGCTGTGCACAGTGGCTCACACCTGTAACCCCAGCACTTAGGGAGGCCAAGGCAGGTGGATCATTTGAGGTCAGGAGTTTGAGACCAGCCTGGCCAACATGGTGAAATCCTGTCTCTACTAAAATACAAAAATGAGCCAGTGGTGGTGGCAGGCACTTGTAATCCCAGCTACTCAGGAAGCTGAGGGAGCAGAATCGTTTGAACCCCAGGAGGGGGAGGTTGCAGTGAGCCAAGATAGCACCACTGCACTCCAGCCTGGGCAACAGAGGGAGACCATCTCCCCTGTCTCAACAACAACAACAACAACACTAGTCCACAATGAACACACCAAAAAAATGTGTAAAGTGTGGGTCTAGTTCTTTTGCATCTTTTTAAAGAAAGAAGAAGCAAAATCCCAATTGTTGAGTCATCTTCCCCTGTGGTCAGCAGCTTGCCCAGCTCCACCGAGCACTCGCTCGAGAGCGTTTCTGTTCCTTGAAAACAAATGAGAACGACAACAGCAAGATGCTCCTCAATCATTAAAAACACCAAAGAGCATCTGTTCGTGCCCCAGCAAGTGAGAGAGAAAACCTGGCCAAAAAAAAAAAAAAAAAAATGCAAAGAATTGGGAGCTGGGATTTGTTCTAGTGCCATCATAAAAGAATTGGGAGCTGGGATCTGTCCTATTGCATCACAATGGGCTGTCGCCATAACAGGAGCTGGGATTTGTCCTAGTGCATCATAAAAGAATTGGGAGCTGGGATTTGTCCTATTGCATCATAACGGGCTGTTGCCATAACAGGAGCTGGGATTTGTCCTAGTGCATCATAAAAGAATTGGGAGCTGGAATTTGTCCTAGTGCCTCATAAAAGAATTGGGAGCTGGGATTTGTCCTAGTGCCTCATAAAAGAATTGGGAGCTGGGATCTGTCCTAGTGCATCACAACGGGCTGCCATCATAACAGGGCCTGACATGGTGGAAAATCGTCAAGTAGAAATAAAAGAATCTCATTTGGACATAGTTTATAAGCAAATATGGTTATAGCATTTTATTTCAACAACTGGGGAAAAAAACATAAAATTTATTCTGTTTTGCAGAAAAACTAAGGCCGACCAATAGGATTTGACTGTTAGAGAGACAACAATACATTTTCCTAGTGACTTGTGGGATAAACCGCTTGTTGCTTGTTTTTATTTTTTACATTTCTGCATCTTTCCAGAATCTCAAGTACCCTGGATTTGACGGAACTTCTCCCGGTGGGTGCTCAACACAGCGCTGCCTTCTCCTCTAAGAGCTCAGCTCCTGAAAAGGTTCACGCGAGGATGCTCACAGCAGCCAAATGCTGGGAACAACCTGTGTGGGTACAAGCAAGACGTGGTGTGTCCCTCGACGGAGCACGACTCAGCGACAACAGGAGCAAAGGGTGGGGGTAGGAAGGTAGCGTTGCGTCACCCCGACCGGCTGCTCAGTCAGTTCCCAATCTAGCTCCTTGTTGTACCCTTTCCGCCTTCTCTCTACTGCACTTGACCAGTCTTCAAAAAATTAAAAAGGAACAAATGTATACAGTGGGAGGTGAGGCAAGAGGGGGTCGGAGCATTCACCGAGGTGGAGAACAGGCTCAGTACATCTTCCCGCTCATGTTACAGTGAAATGCGTGACCTTAGGTGTGTGTTTCCGTGAGATTTTATAGATCACATGGATTTTTTTTTTTTTTAGATGAGGTCTTGCTCTGTCACCCAGGCTGGAGTGCGGTGGTGAGATCTCAGCTCACTGCAAACTCTGCCTCCAAGGTTCAAGCGATTCTCCTGCCTCAACCTCCCAAGTAGCTGGGATTACGTGCGTGCACCACCATGCCCGACTAATTCTGTATTTTTATATTTTTAGTGGAGACAGGGTTTCACCATATTTTTAGTGGAGACGGGGTTTCACCATGTCAAAGGTTTTTTTTGTTTTGTTTTCATAAATTGCACTCCTGTCCAACCTCACAGTGCTCTTTTAATTGGTGAGAAGCTGAGCAAAGCTTCCTCCTCTCTGAAGGACAATAGGAAAAGGCCAGCACGAGAGGCCAGCACAAGAGGGTGGGGCTCTTCTTTGGAGGCAAAGCCAGCCTCTCCTGAGCCAGCTCCCCTCCCGCCTCCCCCTCCTATGGACCACGCCCACTGGACTTACCAAGGGATCTTCAACAGGGTCTCACCCACACACAGCACTGCTGGTCTCCAGTCTCTGGGATTTCTTCTAATTCTGAGGACAAGTTTAAAACCTTACTAATGGCTGGGCGCAGTGGCTCACACCTGTAATCCCAGCACTTTGGGAGGCCGACGCGGGTGGATCACAAGGTCAGGAGATCGAGACCAACCTGGCCAACATGGTGAAACCCTGTCTCTACTAAAAATACAAAAATTAGCTGGGTGTGGTGGCAGGTGCCTGTAGTCCCAGCTACTAGGGAGGCTGAGGCAGGAGAATCGCTTGAACCCGGGAGTCAGAAGTTGTGGCGAGCTGAGATTGCGCCACTGCACTCCAGCCTGGGGGACAGAGCGAGACTCCGTCTCAAAAAAACAAAAACAAACAAACAAAAAAAAAACCTTACTAACAAAATTGATTTCAAGCTAAATGAATAAAGAAAAGGAAAACTCTCTACAAATCATTTCTCTGATTTCTGAATTGAAAAGCAACCAAGAAGACTCTGACAATTGGCGGGCGCCCCGGCCCCAGGGCCCCTCTCAGGCTGGGTGCGTGTCTGTTGCCCGTTCTGTCGGCTGAGACCACTGTCAGGGCAAAGAGAAGACATGGGACAGCCAGGAAATGTGGCCCACCTGACTCCAATCATGCTTCCGGCCCCGCCACGGTTCCGGCCCCGCCACGGTTCCGGCCTCGCCACGGTTCCTGCCCCACCACGGTTCCATTCCCACCACGGTTCCTGCAGGCATTTCATGTAATGCAATTATTCTTCCCTGCAACATTCATCTGACCAATACGTGACCATTTCCTCTCTTTTGCCAGCATCATAGAGAGTTCACAAGAGACAAATCAAAGTCACCGTGGGTCCCAGTAGCAAATCTAGAACCTGCATCTTAAGGCAAAGAACGATGAACCACCATAAATTCCGTGGGCCTTTGAGAAGCCGAAGGGTGAGCTGATTGGAGGAAGGATGGGAAGACGCCCGATCAGTGTGGTTCCAGATCAGATTCTGCCTGTGTGTCACCCACATTTAACACTAAGGGACCAAGTTTGTCATCTGTTAAATGAGAACAAAAATACATGCCCTGTTATTGTCAGTGACGGTGCAGAAATCTAACACGATAACATATAAAACACTCAGAAAGGCATTAACCCCCATGCAGTGCACTATTATTACTTTACGCCATTTCAGTCACAAGAGCAGGTGCTGGGTGTTATTCCAGCTCAAGAATATCTCAAAGCACCCAGGCCTGGAATAGAGAGAGCAGGTTCCAAAGCAGCCCCAGGCTAAGCTTTGCACACAGACTCAGACCATGAACATCACCCATCAGTTAGAGGGAAATCACTCACCCTTCAATGCACTCTTAACACAGACCCCACCTCTATGGAAACTGCCTCAAAAGACAGAGCAGACCAACGTCCCAAGAATGATTAGACGGCGCCTCTAAAATAACAAGGCCGTTGCATGCAAGGGCCCGAGAGCTGGCCGTCCACATTTCCTCCCAACTCCACCTTCAGTGACACTGCGTCAGTAACTGGGAGGCAGCAGTGGCGGCGGGGCGGGGGCCTTACACTAGAGAACCCGGCTGCAAATCAGGTCCCAAATGCTGCAAATGCTGGTGGTTAAGCATTTGCCCACACTGCACTGCTGAGCCACTGAGATTAGGCCTGAAATTAGTTATGGGTTTTACCCACGCACCGAAAGACATGTGTTTGTTGTATGCATAATCTTTAGAATCCACGTTTGGTTCGATATTTCTGCTTTAATGATAAAAGGTTTTGTGCTTTTCAAAATGGTATGGCCACGCACAGACATTATCCCTCCAAACTCCTGGTCGTGGCTGAACCTCAGCAGCTTCACGGTCCCCAAGATCAATTTCCTATCTCCTCCAATCCTGTTAGCAAATGAACCAAAATTAAATCAGGATTTGGCAGATTTCTCTAAACACTGCAGCCACTCAGAGTCCTGCTAAGGAGAAAGAGCAGCTGTAAACATATGTGAGAACCCTTGAAGCTCTTCCTGCCATAAGCACACTTCCGTTCTCTGAATAAACCCCTCTGACGAGCTGTTTCGGGAGGCTACATCCACGCCCAGGACAGCCGGGAGGGCAAGCTGCAGCCTCTGCACGGCCTCTGCTGTGTCTGTGCACCCTGATTGAGAAGCCTGCGTATCAGAGACCTCCAAGTGCCGGCTCGCCTCTCCCTCGTCCATAATTTAGTGACAATCTCCATGGCAACTAGACTCCAAGAAAAGAGAAGGAAAGGTTTCCCGGCTCTCTGAGCAGCGGGTGCTTCGTAAACTGCAAAAACACATTCCCCAAACATGGTGTCCCAAGGACACTGTCAGCCTCAGAAAATCTAGAGTGATCTGAAATGAGCTCATTCAAACTTGACCTCAGCTTTGAAAACCACACAGCCATCCAACTGTCTAACAGTCAACCATGATAGATTGGGGGGAAAAAAACATTTTAAACATTAATTTTTAAAAAAAGGTTGGCTATAAATAGCTTAAAAACCAAATGTTTTAAGTATTTAAAAGAAAATAAATTGGGAAGCGAAAACTACTCCAGTATAAATCTCAGATATTAACATTCCTTGGGGCTGATATCTAATTTACTTAATGTCTTTCACACAGGCCCATGACAACCCTTCATGGTAAAAGCAAAAAAAAAATCCCTTTCTCCTACGTCAGTGACATTTCTAGGTAGACATCAAGATCTCGCGCTTAGGAGACCAAAAGCAAAAGCAGGCTATAAGCAAATGAGGTCAGCCCTGGCGCTGGGCGGGTGCAGCACTGGCCCAGCCCCCGTGCGGCCCCACTGTGTCCCCTCACAGCTGGTCATCAGCCACAGCTAAGCCAGGCCAACCCAAGAGGCACAGCGAACTCTACAGGACTCCACATTCAAAACTTGCTCCTTCATCAAAAAGCGGAGTAAACCGGGAGATTCAGCCATGGGAAGGCCTTGGACCCCAGGACCTCTGGAAAACACTGCGTGTAACTGGCACCCCGAGTCAACTTTTCCCTGAGAAATGCTCAACCCCATTTAGTTTTTGGACATGCCTCTGGAAATATGAAAATGAGTTTCATCTACTAAACAATTCCTTATCCTCTCAAATCTCTGAAATTTAAGGGTTTAGAAAGTTAATTTGATAAATGGGAAAGTCAACCCAGCAGATAAAAGGGAAAACGGTCTTTCAAGAGCATCTTAGTAAATGCTGCAGGTTGCACAGAGCATGCCCATGTGCCCGCCCAAACTACGGGCCACCTCCACCAGAGTCAACCGCCCAGCAGAATGTGGGCACCCCTCCTCCGAGAGGGACCCTCTTCCCAAGGTCAGCTAAGAGGCGGGTGCCCGTCTGAGAGGGACCCTTTTCCCAAGGTCAGCTAAGAGGCGGGTGCCCATCTGAGAGGGACCCTCTTCCCAAGGTCGGCTAAGAGGCGGGTGACCGTCTGACCACTGAGGGAGTCGGGAGTGGGGCTGCCCATGGCTTTGGGGAAGCACTCGCTGTTCAGCGGGAGAGAAGTCAAAGAGAGAGGCCGGGTGATGCCACGGGGTGCCCTGTGGGACTGTGCACACTGCGTTCTGCAGACATGGGCATCCTGGACAGCTGAAAACAGGGCAATGATGCAAACTGGCATTTGCGCCTCCTGGTGCCCCACGGAGACAGGCCCTGAGGAGCCTGGTGGTCCTCGTTCAGCTCCAGGGCAGATGCTGGCGAGGGAGGAAGGTGATCATAAGAACCCCGGCTGCAGCACAGTCTCCAACCTTCTCATGCAGAAGAGCTGGGGGTGCTTGGGAGGCACCAGTTTCCCTGACGCCACGGTGGCAGGCGGGAGGGCTCAGGACCCGAAAAGCAACAAGCTCCCAGAGGAGCAGCCTGTGGATGCCACCAACGAGCACAGTTCTGGGGAGGCCCCGAAGGGCCCCGAGGACTCCCCGGCTTCCCCTGTCTAGGGAGGCCCCGAAGGGCCCTGAGGACTCCCCAGCTCCCCCTGTCTGGGGCCAGATGCTGCTCTTCCTCCTGCGAGTGGGAACAGCTTCAGCACCTGTTCTAGTTCCCTTGATTCAGGCACCCCCGGCCACTCTCCCAGCGAGACCATGAAGATGAGGATGCTGGAGAAAGGTGACCTTGTGCACGCTTCGCCCCTGCTTAACAAGCCAGCCGTGCACCAGGGACAATCACCAAGGACGGGCCCACTCAGCAGAGGAACCCCCAGCAAAACACCCTCGGGAGGGCACGCCCGCCTCCACCCCCAGCTGACACCCACACCCCAGCCGGGCACTCCAATACCTTCTCGGGGTTTTTAGGACATGCCCCTGCTGGGCTCACTCTCCAGCTTCCTTGAATCCTACCTCCCCTCTCAGGCCTGTGGGGTCAAGCAGCTATTCTAACTACTGTGAAATTGAACTTCCAAGCCAAGGCACACACACACCTGGAGACCGTCTTGGTTAACGGGTAATTTATTCTCTTAGTGGGGATTCCAGTCCAGTCTACATAAGCATCATTAAGGCAGTCTCACGGGGAAGAAGTTTGGGAGTCAGATATTAGAACTTCATTGTGCAGAAACACAAAACCCAGAGTTCTTTCCTTAAAGTCCTGACTTGAGGGAAGACTTGAAAATCCAGGGCTGCACATCTGGGCTCGGAAACCTGCATATCATACTTACTACGATTTGTGTTCCTCCCGCCATTTGTTTGTTGGTTTGTTTTTGAGACAGAGTCTGGCTCTGTTGCCCAGGCTGGAGTGCAAAGGCTTAATCACTGCAACCTCCTCTTCCTGGGCTCAAGTGATCCTCCCACCTCAGCCTCCCGAGTAGCTGAGACCACAGGCACATGCCACCACACCTGGCTGATTTTTGTACTTTTTGTAGAGAAGGGGTTTCACCATGTTGCCAGGCTGGTCTTGAACTCCTGAGCTCAAGCAATTCGCCTGCCTTGGCCTCCCACAGTGCTGGGATTACAGGCGTGAGCCACTGCACCCAGTCCCACTGTTAATTTAGAACCAGACACATCGTTTCTCCACTATTTATGACTTTAGTTACAAAGCCACACCAGATAGCACCAAATTCAAATCATATCAATGACGCCGATGCGCACAGCTGTCCCAACACAAGACAGCAGGGCCATCCGTTGCCAGCACATGAATGACTGTAAGTCACCAACAACTGCCAGCCAAGGACGCACGAAGGATCAGCCTGTGTCTCCGTGAAAATTCACAGCACAGACGCCGCTCGGGAGGGAGAGGAGAGAGAGGGGCCCCAGCAGGCACCCTCACCCTGTCTGTGCCGCCAAGGGGCCTGAGAGTGTGACCCTGACACCGAGTCAATCTGCTTCTCCGCCTGAGGCTGCCAGGCAGCCTGGAGGCTGGAAAAAAAATGTAAAACATGTTCCTCTAAAACGAGGGCGTCCTTAGCGGGGATGCTATAAATACGCCCAAGTAAGAAGAGACGCGAGAACGTCAATCTGGTTCTGTTCCTCCCGCTTCTCCTTCCTCCCAGCAAACTTCTGAGGAGAGAAAAGTCTGGAAAGTTTGAGGAGCGAACCGCATCTTCAGAGCCATTGGGTGGGGTCACATGCATACATCTGAGCTCACATGTGTGTGAGACCCAAACTGAGCTGAACTGATTTTAACTCACCTCAAGTCACTAATCTGAAGTCTCAATATCACGTCACTTTTTCTGTTAATACACCAAATAAGGCTGAGCTTCACATAGTTCAATTCAGTCATTCGTTTCCATCTCCTTTTAGGTTTTATTCATTGGAATTTGGGAGTGCAATGAGACTGCCAGTCACACGGAGTGATGCGGTCTCGTGTCTCACAGCTGTGGGTCTTCCCGTTGCCTCAGCCCCTCTGAG